>NC_000008.11:13799496-14102526 GCF_000001405.40 Homo sapiens
ATTTTTTTTACCCTCTCCCATAAACATACAAATAATCAATCAATCAATCTTCTTATTGTTTAGTCTTTCCTAGGTCCATCAGGATCACCATCATGCATTCAGTTATATGACAAAAAAGCTGGTGTTTACCTTGTCCTTATGCCCACACTGAAGCCATAACTAAGTCATGCCAATCTTAAAATCATTGCAATTACCCATAATTTTCAGGTTCTACTATCAATCTGTTCCAATCTTTCTCCATATTTTTTCCGAAGTTATTTTTTAACAATCGATTTGATCATATCTCTCCTTTGACTTAAGACCTTTCAACGGATTCCCGTGGCTCTTAAAATAAAACTGAAAACCTTAGCATTGCCTTCAAGGACGGTCCACACTTACCTTGCTCACCTTCTTGCAGTTTCTCCCAAGGCCATATTGATTTTAAGCTTCAGGCCTTCACATAGTCTGTTGCCCTGTCTGAAATATTAGCAGCTCTCACCCTACCTACCTCCCACTAACCCTTCAAGTCTCAACTTAAATGACAGTTTCTCAAGGAGACCTTTCCTGACTACTTCCCTGGTTAGATTGGGTCTTGTTCTAAGCTCTCTAAGCTCTGCCAACATATCCCTAAATATCTTTCGTATAATTTCCTTTTAACTTACTCAACCATATGTTAAATATCTGGCCACAATGGCAAATACCAAGTTTATCTTTGAGTGAAAGCATAACTGAAAGTTACCTTAGAGATTTAGCAGGTTATAGCCTTCATTTTCTAAATCAGTCAACTGATTTCCCTGTGGCCATATGCTATTACTTGATAGAGCCATGTAATGACCTTTTTCTGCCCCTGAGGATGGAACTGCAGTCTTGAAGTCCGGTGACTTCTGAAATGACATAATGAGAGAAACAAAGACGCCAGTAGGAGTTCTTGTTCCACTGCCAGACTCTCCAGTGCTCTCTGCTTTCTGTCTTTGTATTCACTTGCCCAATAAATCCTTAGGTTAAACTAAATATTTTTGATGATGATGTCATGACCTCTACACAACTGTTTGTCGGCATCTTATTTTCAATTTGGGTCCATTTCAAGTATTACTAAACTCCATTGATAATTTTTGCTTGAGAGAAGAAATATGGAGAAAATAAAATCTTTATTATACCAGAATGCAAAACAAGCAAATGCAGTTTGTTAAGCCCACTTGGATCACTGTTAAAATACTGGTCACAAAACATACTAAAGAAACAACATTTGGCCAGGTGGGGTGGCTCATGCCTGTAATCTCAGCACTTTGGGAGGCTGAGGCAGGTGGATCGCTTGAGGTCAGGAGTTCAAGACCAGCTTCGCCCATGTGGTGGAACCCCGTCTCTACCAAAAATACAAAAACTAGCCAGGCATAGTGGCGGGCGCCTGTAATCCCAGCTACTCGCGTGGCTGAGGCAGCAGAATGGTGTGAACCCAGGAGGCCGAGGCTGCAGTGAGCCGAGATCCTGCCACTGCACTCCAGGCTGGGCAACAAAGCGAGACTCTATCTCAAAAAAAAAAAAAAAAAAGAAAAGAGAAAAAGAAAAAAGAAACAACATTTAAAGTTAGAGCAATTATCTGTTCTGCCTTTGTCGAGTCCCCATGTGGAATACAGCTATGGAGACTTTAGGTTATATGGACACTGGGTTATATGGATACACTGACCATGGATCTAAAACACAAAGCATGTGGATTAGGGATTATGTAACCTCATCAACAGTAACTATGGAAATAGTATCATTGAAAACAGAGCGCTAAGGCAATGATTTATTTTGTTTTTACTTATTAAATTTCTATAGTTGATGACTATGGTAATTGACTGCTACACAAATACTCATATTTTGATAATCACCTGGGGGGAAGAATTTACATTTATTATCACAAATGCCTTTCTCCTCTGGTGAGTCCTTGTGGTGTTTCCCCTGTGTGCTCATTCTCTGTACTGTTGTGTTGATGCGAAGAACAATCACAGGACAAAACCTCTTTCTTATTAAAGACACGGTCTTATTTCAAACTGAGAAAATAATTAGAAAGCTGACAGGAATACCTTTGGGTACAATAGTTTTTGTAATGAGAAAATTGTACATCATTGAAGTCAGAGGGCCTGGTCTTGGGAGTAAGAAATGCTCAGTTTTTGTCTCAAGGGCTGAACCCAGATGCTTGTCACGGCTCAACCTTAAGCATGTTGTTGCTTTTCCTGCCCAAATATGCCATTCAGTGCCTTTCTGATGTCTTGCTTCAATACTTACTAGGAAAATTCTGAAGTAGTTACCCATTTCATTACGTCTGGAAAAAATCCAGATACAGGTGCATGAATTAAATCACTTACTTGTGTGTCACTTCAAGCATAAAGTTCAAACTCATTGGAAGCCACAAATTATATGCTTGAGAGGCTTCTGCAATTTCAGAAAGAACTGTACTTGACTACTGAAAGAAAGAAAGGACACACAAGTGCTAAGTTCACCTCTGTCTGCTGGCATTTTACTGATAGTTTAGTATCTCAAGAATAATTCCAAAGGTCAGAGGAAAAAACAGAGGAAATGGCTCTGTGACTTATTCCCACGTTCTTATATAAATAATAAGAAAAACTGAAAAAAAAATAGCTTTTCTAATACTATATATATATACATATATATGTATATATACAGTATTAGAAAATATATATATTGTATTAGCTTTTCTCATACAATATATAAAATAATATATACACACACACACGTATATAGGTGTATATATACATATATAGTATATACATAGTATATGTGTGTATACATATATACTAGTATATATGTATACTATATATGCGTGTATAGTGTACACATATACACATATATAGTATATATTTACACATGTGTACACGTGTGTACATACAGTATACACATACACATATGTAGTATATATACACATATTTAGTGTATATATACACATATATGTATACACACATATACTATTTAATATATATTTAATATTTAATATAGTTAATGTATATTCATATACATAAGCTATAAGATTATATACACTAAGATATATATGTATCCACTATTAAGATAGATATAGAGATATAGATATATCTCTCTCTATATATATTTATATAGATATATCTGTGTGTGTGTGTGTGTGTGTGTGTATATATACTAGTAGTCCTAGAACATGCCTGTTATTGGAATGTAGCACAATGAATTCATAAGTAGATAGTACCTTTTAAAAGGCAAGGGTTGCCTTTCATCAATAATCAAATTCATCAAAATATCCAAATTCCCAGGTGTAGCATTAGTCATTCACCAGCATCCAATACCTGCTGATTGATGGAAATAATTGTGAATTCTTAAAGAACAAAATTATTTTAGTAACACTTGTTGGAGTTTGTATCATGAATATTAGAGGCAAAACAAAAATAAGCTTGTCAATGTTGTAGCTCAACGTAATTGAACAACCAGAGGATTTTAAATGTTGCAGCAATCCAGTTTTCTTTCTTCTAGGTCATTTGTTAGGGCAAGAAAAGCTATTATTGAGGAGATACACATGACCTCTATCAGCATATGGCTGATAGAGGTTTCCAGATAGAGTTAGTTAGGAAGTTTTATAGATGAGAAAGGAAGAAAATTTTGTTTGTGTGCTTCTAGCCCTTCCTGTATCTACCCATCCTAAAATAAAATAAATTTTGGCTGCTAAGAGATAATTAAGTTTGTAGCTAGAAACGATACATGGTATCAATACTAAATCTTTCTACCATATTTCTTGTTTGGAATGTCATAACCCCCCTTTGCCTACAGGATGTGTGTAAATCCTGTCATAAAACTAATCACTCAGGGACCTCTCTCCTTGCAGCTGAACATGGTAACGTTAGTGTTTTGCCTAAAATTGCAAGTGACTGAGGCAAAGAGAAAGGTATTCTCCTTGAGCCTTATGTTCTTATCACTTTGTTTCAACTATTGGCCATAGTGAGAGAATCCTGTGATTGGTGAGGTTCACTTATCCTCATGTTTTTTCTTTTCTTCTCCTCCTCCTGCTGTTGCTTTTCTTTGTCCCTCTCTCCCTCTCTCTGTGTGCCTCTGTCTTGGTGTCTCTCTCTCTCTCTCTGATTACTTCTCTCCCTCTCTCTCTGTTCCTCTCTCGATGTTTCTCTATCTCTCCATCGCCCTGTTCTTCTTCTCTTTCTCTTCTCCTTGTCTTTTTCCCTTTTGCTCTCTCTCTCTCTGTGTCTCTGTCTCCATTTCTCTCACACACACATATACCTACACAGACACAGAAATAGGATAGAAGCTGGTGGTATTCAAAAGAATACTAATTAGGAAGAGTCTTGTGGTGTAACCACCCAATGGGTTCACCTTGGCCACTGCCTAGACAGAATCGATTTATCAAGACAGGAGAATTGCAATGGAGAAAGAGTAATTCACACAGAGCCAGCTGTGCAGGGGACTCGAATTTTATTATTACTCAAATCAGTCTCCCCAAGCATTGGGGGATCAGAATTTTTAAAGATAATTTGGCGGGTAAGGGCTTGGGAACTAGGGAGTTATGATGGGGCAGGTTGGAGATGGAATCATAGGGGGTTGAAGTGAGTTTTTCTTGGTGTGTTCTGTTCCTGAGTGGGATGGCAGAACTGGTTGAGCCAGACTACTGGTCTGAATAGTGTCAGCTGATTCCTGGAGTGCAGGGACTGCAAAATATCTCAAGCACTGATGTTAGGTTTTACAGTAGTGATGTTTTCCCCAGGACCAATTTGGGGATGTTCAGATTCTTGGAGCCAGAGGCTGCGGGACCCCTAAACTGTAGTTTCTAAGCTTGTAGCTAATTTGTGAGTCCTGCAAAGGCAGACTGGTTCCCAGGTGAGAAGGGGGACTTTTCGGGAAAGAGGTGTCATGAATTTTGTTTCAGAGTCAAACTATGAACTGTATTCCTTCTCAAAGTTGTATCAGCCTATGCCCAGGAATGAACAAGGCAGCTTAAAGGTTAGAAGCAAGATGGTGTCGGTTAGGTCTGATTTCTTTCACTGTCATAATTTCTTCAGTTAAAATTTTGCAAAGGCAGTTTCAGTAGGAAGCTAGAATTCTTACTCAATGGACTCAGAAGAGAAGACATTTCTGGCACGTGGCATGGACGGAGGGAGAAGATACATGACTTTCAGATGTGTTTTCTCCACTTTTGTCTTTTTTTACGCTCATTAAGCTAGACTGGATACTGAAAGGGGAATGCAGATCATAAATAAATTGTTAAGTATTTGAAAATATTTAGGAAGGTAAGACTTGGACATGATTAATCCTGCACAGTTCAGGAGGAGAAAAAGATTTGGAGATGGGGAAGAAGTATAATTGTGACTTTTTAAACAAGCAATTTCATGTTTAAGTACCTGGAGTCTGACAGTAGAAGATGAAACAGTGACACATGAGGGAAGGTGTTCTCAGTTGTTACAAAAAGGGAAGGTAGAGTTTCGTTGCAGAGGGAAAAAACTTAGAGTTCAAAAAAGCAAAAAAAAAAAAAAAAAAAAAAAAAAAAGAGGATTGAAGGGCTACCAGTTCCCAGGAAGCTGGGATCAATGTTGCAGAAGGAGAGTGGCTGACTCCTACAGTGCTTCCTAAGCCAACATCGCTTTCAGTCCACAACAGTCTAAATTTTATTTTCATATTTTATAATTGGGGTTCTCAAAAGAATTGAGGTGGAAAACAGCTTTTCAATGATAGTAGCTGGGCAGATGCTTATTTAAAAAGAGAAAAAATAAACAAACAATGATCCTTTACATCTAAAGCACTTATTGAGAAGCATTAATTTTTTTTTTTCCAAACAGTTTTTTTAGAGGAGAAAACTGCAAATCTTGTATGGATTACAGTGCATTCTTTAGCAAAATGAAACAAAATGTAGCCATGTTTGGGAAAGAACCTGTATATTTTCTTTCTTTCTTAATTCCGTGAGCTTTGCCAGCCTAGCCTTCCCCTGTGAGAATCGAGTGAAGAAGACAGGATGTGTGTTCCTCGTGTGGAGCCGTGTCATCATTAGGCTTCCATATGTGTTGAACCAAATGTGCAGTGCATTTTCACTCCCCTCCAAAATTCCCCGCAATGGTTTCTGCTCTGCCACTCTATGACAGATGGTCTTAGAAGGTGAGAAGGCTTGTTTGTCCATTTGTCCCTCTGTCCTCCTGTTCTCTCCCTACTACATTTATCCTCGTTGCCACCAAGTGTTGCTTAAGAAATAATAGGGTAGGGGCCAGGCGCGGTGGCTCACGCCTGTAATCCCAGCACTTTGGGCGGCCGAAACGGGCGGATCATGAGGTCAGGAGATCGAGACCATCCTGGCTAACGCAGTGAAACCCCATCTCCACTAAAAATTCGAAAAAAAATTAGCCGGGCATGGTGGTGGGCGCCTGTAGTCCCAGCTACTAAGGAGGCTGAGGCAGGAGAATTGCGTGAAGCCGAGAGGTGGAGCTTGCAGTGAGCCGAGATCGCGCCACTGCACTCCAGCCTGGGTGACAGAGCGAGACTCCATCTCAAAACAAAACAAAACAAAAAAGAAATAACACGGTAGGTGTGGTGGCTTACACCTGGAATCCCAGCACTTTGGGAGGCTAAGTAAGGTGGGAGGATCGCTTGGGGCTCAGGGTTCTAGACTAGCCTGGGCAACATAGTGATACCCCTTCTCTGCAAAATAATGATAATAATAATAAACCATTGTGGTGGCATGTGATTCTAGAACTAGCTACTCAGGAGACTGAGGCAAGAGAATCCCTTGAGCCCAGGAGTTCGAGGCTGTAGTGAACTATTATTGTGTCACTGCACTCGAGCATGAGTGACACAGTGAGAGCCTGTCTCTAAAAAAAAAAATTCTAAAAATGTCCTTTGCCGGGACATGGATGAAGCTGAAAACCATCATTCTCAGCAAACGAACAAAAGAACGGAAAACCAAACACAGCATGTTCTCACTCATAAGTGGGAGTTGGACAATGAGAACACATGGACACAGGGAGGGAAACATCATACACTGGGGACTGTTGGGGGTGGGGGCTATGGGAGGGAGAGTATTAGGAGAAATACCTGATGTAGATGACGGATTGATAGGTGCAGCAAACCACCATGGCACGTGCATACCTGTTAACAAACCTGCATGTTCTGCACATGTATCCCGGAAATTAAAGTGTAATAATAATAAAAAAGAAAATAAAGGAAGTATCGTATATCTAAGTAAATACAGACTAGAAAAGGAAGACATTGCATAACAGTTACTATTTTACATTGGATAACACCCTGAAAGGTATTTCTGGTCACAAAAACAAGATGAACTAAGTTATACAGCCAGTAAAGTGACATCCCAGGATTTCCAACTCATATCTCACTCCCATGCCTCCCTCTCTTTCTTCCTCCCTCCCTCCTTGGCTTCCTCCCTCCCTCCTTTGCTTTCTCCCTCCCTCCTTGGCTTCCTCCCTCCCTCCTTGGCTTCCTCCATCCCTCCTTGGCTTCCTCCCTCCCTCCTTGGCTTCCTCCCTCCCTCCTTGGCTTCCTCCCTCCCTCCTTGGCTTTCTCCCTCCCTCCTTTGCTTCCTCCCTCCCTCATTTGCTTCCTCCCTCTCTCCTTTGCTTCTTCCCTTCTTTTGGTGTTTAGTAAGACAACAAGTTTTAATTTGAAAATACATTTTTTAAAAAATAGCTGCTGAGGGAAGGATAAATATTTATATCTCTGCTTAGGAAAGAATGAATATTTCTTGTGAGGAATTTTAGCACAAAAGATTTATAGTTACCCTTCAGTGATGCAAGAGGGCAAACAGAATTCTAGGTGGTCTAAGGCCCCTAGATATGCCCTAGTTGCTTTTCACTAGAGGCAGAGCCAATACACCTGCGTTACTCACTGCCAAAGTTAACTGTAACCTGAATGCACACACTCCAAATGGTTTTCTTACTTATTTTTTCAAGGCCATATCTGGCATAGGTTTCAATGGCATGACCATGTAAAACTACTATTAAAAAAACCTTAAAGTTCTCATGTTATTCTAATAAAGCCTAAACTAAAAAAAAACAGACTTCAGTTGCAGGCATGTATGCTGGATTTCCATAACTTTTGATGATTTCTAGTTCTAAAATTCTATAATTTAAAATCTCAGTTGCAGACACACAACTGAGATTTTTAAATTATAGACACCGTACTAGTCTTTAAAAAATGGTGAAAAAAAAAAGAAAATGGAAAAATGCTACTCTGGAATGGAACAGAGAAAAATGCCACAATTTTCAAGTGCATAGGCTTATACTGAACAGTGCCAATAGTCAACATGACAGAGGTCAAATTTGGTTGCAATTTCAACTAATGCCTTTGGAAACATTTAAGCACACATTGACGAAATTTGGTTAAAGGGTCCGAGAGCAAGTATTTGAGGTTTATTGAACAGTACTAGATGAAAAAGTATGTGTATGTCTGAAACATCGAGATGAATGTAGCATTTGTCTTACTTGGGTGTTCGAGCTAACATGTTTTGCTTACCTGGCAACTTCAGTAAGGAAGCTAAGCGTAGGGCTATGCGGAGCCCAAAATTTGGAACCACTTCATTCCCGTAGATGTAAATTGATTAGTAGGAGCAAGAGAGGATCAATGATACTAAATAAACTAAACCCTAGGGGGGACTAGTTCAGAAGTATGATGATTTGAGTACCGAGGAATAAAATGAAATACAACTAACATATCACGCTGAAATCTCAGGTTATGTTTGCTTTTCTTATGTAATAAAATAGAGTCTCTTAATAATAATTAGCTTTCAAATAGCATTCATGCACTGATAAGACTAATAAATAAAACTAGAAAAATATCTCCTCTAGACTTTCACCAGGAGCACTGATAAATTGTTACATCGTTTATCAGACAATCATGTGTCTCATTTGTAGATATCTTATTTCTCTGAGACTGCCTGAAATGGGCAGAGTAAAGCAGTTTGTTGATAATTATCAAATAGTATCTTTCTCTCTAGAAAGTTGAAATAATTGAAAGAGAATTAATATCAGCATATTATCTTTACCCTTAATATTTCTTCTTCAGGGGATGAGGTATTCTTAATGTTTATTAAAATCTCCCAATGCTTTTCTTTCAGGAGGACTTCATTTCATTGAAAGAACCAGGCAGGTAGGTCAGTGTTCCGACTGACGTTTACAAATGATAGTTTTCATTTATAAGATAAACATCCCCATCAATTTTGAGGTCTCGATCTAATTATTTCATCATAGTTTTTGAAATATGGAACTTATTTACATTTAAACTTCTCCTCCTCTGATCATGGTTGACTGCAGCCTCAACCTCCCTGGGCTCAAGTGATCCTCCCACCTCAGCCTCCCAAGTAGCTGGGACCACAGGCAGGTGCCACCACACTCGACTAATTTTTGTAGTTTTTGTAGAGATGGGGTTTCACCACATTGCCAGGCTGGTCTTCAACTCCTGGGCTCAAGGGATCATCCTACCTCGGCCTCCCAAAGTTCTGGGATTACAGGTATGAGCCGCTGTGCCCGGACTGAAGATATTTAACAATGTTATGTTGACTCAGAATTGTTTAAAGTCAGAGTTAATGAGATAATTTACATATATAAGTATAAAGTATATTGTATAACATACATAACATAGATTATAACATGTAACATACATTCATACAATAACCCTTTTTAATGTACAGTGCTGTGAGTTATAGCAAATACACAGTCATGTAGCCACGAAAACAGTGAAGATACAGGATGTTCCCATCATCACAAAATGTGCCCCAGGGACACTTTGTAGTAAACCAATCCCTTGATCTGAAGCCCCTGGCTAATGCTGATTTATTTTCTCTAACTATGGTTTTGCCTTTCCCCAAATATCACATAAATGGAATCAGAATTTTCCTTCACTACCCTTAGTTTTGGCTTTTCTGTGTATGTACATGTCAGACTGGCTCTCCCTCTATGTCTTTCTTGCCCCTTCTCATGGGTACCCTATCTTGCTGCTTACTTGATGCTTGCTGGCCTGTTAGAAAGCAAGGAGTTTTCTACTGTCCTGTCTTAGGAAGACCCCCAATCCTTGGCATCTCATTATCAGGGTTTTCTTAGTTAATCTGCCCTCAATGAATCTCAGGAAATCTGTTCTCAATGGTAGCTACAATATGCCTTGCTTATTTGTTGGACTTTGTATGGGACAGAAATTCCTGGCCCATCTACAGTGATTGGAGACCACAACACAGTTTTCTGTTTTGTGTCCAGGAGTAACTATTTTGTTTCTTTTTTACTTCCCCCAGCTGCAATGGGCCTTCATCTGTGCAACAGGGCTTATGGTCCCTCTAGTCGTTAGAGAAGAATCACAGGTCACCTTTCCCACAGGAGTCCCTGCTGTCCTCCTCCAGGCTTACACCATGAGAGGGTGACTCTGATCTCACAGGCTGTCCTAAATTTGAGACGGAGTCTCGGTCTGTTGCCCAGGCTGGAGTGCAGAGGCGCGATCTCAGCTCACTGCAAGCTCCGCCTCCCGGGTTCACGCCATTCTCCTGCCTCAGCCTCCTGAGTAGCTGGGACTAGAGGTGCCCGTCACCACGCCCGGCTAATTTTCATATATTTAGTAGAGACGTGGTTTCACCACGTTGGCCGGATGGTCGCGATCTCCTGACCTCGTGATCCGCCCGCGTCAGCCTCCCAAAATGCTGGGATTGCAGGCGTGAGCCACCGCGCCCGGCCTACACTTTCTTACACCCACTCGGAGTTCGTCTGTGGAGAGCAGCCCCTGAGTGAGTGAACGTCGTTTTGTGTGTATCTCTCAAGAGGTTCTAACTTCTCATGCCATTCCTCTAAACACTGCTTCTTTAGCAACCCATCGAACATTGTTAACGAATTCTTCTTATGTGGTTACAGTACCTGGCTTCCCTTCCTTCTGTGTTCTTCTCAGGTGAACCAATGCGCATGCGTCATCCCCTTAGTGGGTCCTGCTTTTCCATAGAGTTTACACTACTCGTTTGCCTTGAAACTGTAGCCCTCTGAGGGGCTCCAGAAAAGTTAAAATATTTTTAGTTCTTCAGCTGTCTTGTGTTATTGGAGTAGGAAATATTTATTTCCAGCTTTCTGCCTTCTGAAGAAGAATTCTGCCCTGCAACCCTGCAATATTTCAACCCTACAATATTTATTAGTATCTACATTACAACTCTAGAAATAGTAATCATTCCTTCCATCTACCTAAAATAATTAGTTCTAATATTAAAAGATTCTACCAATGGATATAGTGCTGGATTCAATAACTTTTTATCTTTTTTTTCCTACTAAGAGATTGTATAATTTGACTTTGATTCTTGTTGACATTTTTGTTAATAATATGTAATCTACATTTTTCATTCAGAAATTTGTTTCTTGCATGAAAAAGTAAAGTGATTCCATCATCGCTTTTCTCTGTGAATTAAAAAAACACTACATTTTAAGTGATCTTCCATAGTCAGTGGCTATTTAAAATAATGACTTCATTTGCCTCTAGGAGATTTGTGATTAGCATTTTTACTTTGAAATCTTAGACTCAGTAGAAATGTTAGTAATAAGTTCAGTCGTTGGTTCTATTTTATTTTTTTTTATAGGTACCATTTTTGAAACTTGCACTAATACAACAGCCGGTTGCCACATGTAGCGCTTAACTCTAGTTTATGTTGATTAAAATTAAGAAAAAGTAAACATTTAATTCTTCAGTTGCAGTAACCATATTTCAAATTGCTGGACAGATGAATGTGGCAAGTAGCCACTGTACTGGTCAACATAGATTTAGAATATTTCCAACATTCCAGAATTTTTTATTAGTGCTGCTCTAAACTATGTAATGCATATTCTAGTTTGTTCTCCTGGTTTCCATTTTCAGCTTTGACAAGTACTAAATTTTGATGTATATATTTCAGCCAGGTATTATGATAAATATCTAAATAAAAAATAAATGTTTAAAAATTATAATAAAACAAATGGTGGCCTGGTGCGGTGGCTCACACTTGTAATCCCAAGACTCTGGGAGGCCGAGGTATGGGGATCACCTGAGGTCAGGAGTTCAAGACCAGTCTGGCCAACATGACGAAACTCCATCTCTGCTAAAAATGCAAAAATTAGCCTGGCATGGTGGCGCATGTCTGTAGTTGCAGCTATCGGGAGGCTGAGGCAGGAGGATCACTTGAATCCAAGAAGTGAAGGTTGTAGTGAGCTGAGATCACACCACTGCACTCCAGCTTGGGCGAGAGAGCAAGACTCCGTCTTAAAAAAAAAAATAAAAAAAATTTAAAACCCAAGAAATATATTATTTCGTAGTTCTTATGCATTTGTGAATGTATTATTTGATTCTAGCAGTGTAGGAAAGGCAGGGCTCATAATACTAATTCTACAGACGAAGAAGTGAGACATAAAAAGATAAAGTGATGTGTCCAATTCACATAACCACAAGTGGTATAACCTAAATTGAGGCACAGCTCTCTGATGTTAATTCAGTTTCTTTCTATTCTATTAAGTCCTGGTAAGTTGGATCCAATTAACTGAGTTCATTGCCAACTGTCAAGCACACTTTGACTATTACATATTATTTTTCTTTTGTGTCTTTTATACCTCGTATTTCATTTATACCTGGAGTGCGTTTGTAATTTTCACAACCTGTTAAAATCTTTTCCTCTTTGAGAGTCCAGTTAAAAATGTCACCTTCACTCATTTTATATTCGTTTTTAGCTCTATCTCTAACCTTTAGGGAATGTATCATGAGTTGCTTTTTAGTAACTTAGCAACATGTGAATATATCGTATTTTTTCCACTAATTTATAAATCTATTACAGAGAGGGGCAAAGTTATATTCAGTTTTATATCCCTAGAGTATCTCTGATAGTGTTTGGTACTGAATCTACATTAGTTGCAGCAAATAAATGGATACAAAAGGACATTTTAAAGCAGCCCAGGAAACTCTCAGTAAATTTGCAGAGACTGCTTTAGTTTGAACAGAACATTTTAAATGAAGACACGGATCTCCTTATTTGATTACTTTAGTTGTAATGCAGGCAAGTTTATGTCCATTTCCAGTACTTACTGGGAGGAAAATGACAGATGTGAGTTGTAAGCAGAAGAGGAGATGGAGCCACTGCTCATTCTAGATTTCCTAAGAATCATATCCTTATTCATTTAATCTTTGGAAAAAAAGCTATTCTCTCCCCCTATAGACAGCAACTAGGATCTCTGTTTCTCCAGTACAAGAGTAGTAGTTTTCTATTTTAAACTTTGCTCTTGGAAAGTGTCTCACCATGAAATGGCCTTCATTTTCATCTCATACATTTTATTTCTTATAATTTGCCAGAATGAATGACACATATTTTCTCTTCTGATTTTTTTAAATGTTGAGTCATCAAAGACAATTGAGCTCTCATAGAGATAAATGGAAATGAACTGTCTATATGAAAAGAAGCAAGTTGACAGAAAGGAATTAAATGAAGTAAATATTTCTTACGTAAGTGGTACCTATTCAGCACATAGGGCTTTGAATAATTTGCAGAGTCATGCAGACTCACTTTGGAATGCAGAAAGTTTCTAAAATAATTTAAATATGTCCAGTTGACAGTTTCTTGAACACTTTGAGTAAAAGCATGTCACAACTAAGAAAAGTAATAGAAAGAACTCAAGTATTTTAAAAGAAACAGGCTAGTCTTATGAAACAACACAAATTCATATTAAAAAGATCAATTTAATTTAAAAAGTGTGGAGGATAGTGGTTAAAAAGCATTTGAAAGATTTTGAAAGCATCCAGGTTCAATTGCAGAATGAATGGTGTATACCAGCATTGTACTCTGGGATTCATGAATCCCTAGGATTCTGGGATGTTTTCAGGAGGAATTGAGAGGTCTCAACTATTTTCTTCATAAAACAGGATGCTGTTTTCCTTTTTCACTATGCTGATACTTGTGCCAGTGAAACAAAGTGATGATGGGTGAAAGTGCTGGTGCCTTGGCAGAAATCAAGGCAATGACAGCAAAGGGTCCTAGTAATAGTCAGTATATTCTTTACTTCCAGTTCAGCTATTTTGTTGTTGTTGTCATTTTTGTTGTTTGTTTTGTTTGGTCTTTTGGTGTGAGCCACCACACCTAGCAAGGTCTATTCTTGCAGGGAAAAAAAAAAAAAAAAAAAAAAAAAAAAAAGGCCAGGAGCGGTGGCTCATGCCTGTAATCCCAGCACTTTGGAAGGCTGAGGCAGGTGGATCACCTGAGGTCAGGAGTTCAAGACCAGCCTGGCCAACATGGTGAAACCCTGTCTCTACTAAAGATACAAAAATTAGCCAGGTGTGGTGGCAGGCGCCTATAATCCCAGCTACTCGGGAGGCTGAGGCAGGAGAATCCCTTGAACCCAGGAGGCGGAGTTTGCAGTGAGCCGAGGTCAGGCCATCGCACCCCAGCCTGGGGGACAAGAGTAAAACTCCGTCTCCAAAAACAAACAAACAAAAAAACACAAAAAACAGTTGTTACTTAAGAATGTCCCTATAAAGAAGTACAAGTTTTAAATTTCATTAAATCTGGATTCTTTTAAGTATTCTGTGTAACAAAATGTATATATAAAGCAGGACTTTGATTCCTTACCACATAAAGTAGTGGTCTCCAAGGACAGCACTTGTGCAATTCTTTGAGAACTAAAGTAGCCATTTTGTTTTAATGGAACATCATTTAACTTTAAAGAATGTCTGACAGAGTTTAATTCAGATTTGAGTATTTAGGGGGTGTTTTCTCAAAATGAACAAATTGGATCTATCACTTAAAGGAATAAAACCGACAGTATTTATTGCCAGTGATAAAATGTAAGCTTTCAGGTAAAAAAGAGAACTTATAAAAACTTATATATAGCACCATAAGCCTGGTAGGTTCCCAGTACTTAAAGATTTTTCTGATAAGATCAGTGGCATTGTTAACACATGAGAATTTTTAGATATTTTATAGCTCAGTGACTCAATAAGTCTCAAATGACCAATGCATGATGTTACAAAATCATGAATCAGTTAAAAAGTCCCAAATTGCAGATAGACAAATAGTATTTAAGACATCACAGAATAAAAGTTCATTGACAGTGCTTTCATATTCCACACTGAAATTCACCTTGATTTGTAAGATTTGGTGTAGTATCAAAGAAAAATATTAATAATGATCTGAAAAGGTCTATCTTTGTGAGGCCAGTTTCTTTATACACTTTCACCTAAACCATTTATTAATATCATGAATGCAGGAGCAGATAAGAGCAAACAGCTGTGTTATGTTAATCCAGACAGAGTTTTGCAAAAAGATATAATTCTTCTCACTAAATGATTGTTTGGAAATATATTGGCTCTTCATAAAAATATGGTATTTATGTTAACATATGATACATTTATTTAAATATAAAAGTATAAATTATATTTTAACATTTCTTAGTCTTAGTTACTAATATGGCAAATACTGATAGCTATAATCCCTAAAAGCAAAAGCTTGTTGGGTACTCAATAATTTTTTACTTTAGAGGCATCCTGAAACAAAAATGTTTGATAACTGCTAACGTAGATAATAAGTCATATAAATAAATTCTAAGACAAATATGTTATTTTGAGATGAGATGAGATGAGAAGAAAGAATATGTAGAAAAGGAATAATTAGAACTCTATCTTGAGGAATGTTTGATATCACTTTTACCTGTCAGGGACCTGATACTATTAACTGTTACTTTATTCTTTGTCTTTTTTTTTTTAAACATTTACTTGGTTATTTGAAGTGGCACTTATGCATTCTGAATCCTTGTACAGGTTAAAAATTAAGAACAAAACAGATATTTATTCAGTCAACTTGTTTATCCACTTACCGCTCTATCTCTAAAAAAGAAAAGGTATTGATTAACTACCCTACTTGTCCATTTCTTCATATCTATTTCTGTACTAGATGGCTCTAATTACAATGATTTGGCTTATTGTTTAACAAATTCTGTTCTATTTTGTTAAAGAAAAACTGTAAGAAAACTCTCACTACATTTTTCTTGACTTCCATGTCTTAATTCGATGAGTAGTTTTCAAACTAAATTACTTTATCTCTAAGGAAAATATGACAAAAATTATTTTTCTTTTTTGAAATAACGAGTTCCACTTACATTTCACCATATACTTCTGCTTTCTTCCTGTTTGTCTGGCTACTCTAATGAATCTCTGCTTATTCTTGCTTATTTCCCTAACTGTTCAGCATGGAAATTTCCATTCTCCTCTTACTCAATATTTCCCCCATAAGTGATCTCATTTATTACCATGTTTCGAATTTCTCTGTACCAATTATTCCCAGATTTTTATTTGCCATGTAGATTTCTTCTTTGATATGTGGACATGTATCTTAAACTACATTTTTTAATATTTCTTCTGGGCTGTCACAAGTGCACCTCAAATTTAACTTTTAAAAATATCATTTTATAATTTATCTGTAGTAAGCATATTCTTCCAGGTTCTGATGAGTGGAACCACGATCCATTTTATGGCATTGTTAGGGATCATAGGATCCTTCTTTTGATATTTCTCCACAGCTCATTCATAATCATCAATCACTAAGACATGAAGATTTCTCTTCCAAATATTAAAAGATTTTTCATTTCTATTTCTTCTATCCCTCTTAGTAGGTCTGCAGACTACTAACATCTTTTACCCAGAACTTTGAAAAGTCCCGTAACTCGTCTCCTCTACAACTGCTGCTCCCTATCTGAAGTCTGTTTGCTATACTTAATAAAATGCAAATCTGATTTCACAGTTTCACTGTGTTAAATTCCTTCTTGCCTTAATTCTCATTGCTTTTAGGAAAAGACCAAGGCTACGCATAATCTGACACAACTCTTCCCATTCGTCTATGATTTTCAGCCATTACAATTTTTTTTAGTTTCTTCTTCTTCTTCTTCATCATGCGTATTCCTACTATAGGATTTTCCTAGAGCTTTCTTTCTGCCTTTCTCCCTCTCTTTTTCTATTTGACTTCGATTCGCTCAGACTTCAAATCTCAATGAGATCTCATGGTACTTTCTATTCGTGTATAACACTTAACAGAGTTCATAAATACAAATACAGTCAGGCCTTCACATCTGTAGTTTCTGCATTGGCAATTAAACCATCCGTGAATTAAAAATATTCAGAAAACAACAACAACAAAAAATACAGCAATAAAAATAATTCAGATAAAGTGGTATTGTGTAACACTTAATTACACAGTATTTAAATTGTATTAGGCATTTTAAGTCATCTAGAGATGGCTTCAACTACATGGGAAGAATATGCGTAGGTTATATGCAAATGCTATATATGCCGTTTATGTAAGGAATTTGAACATCTGAAGATTTTGATATCCACTGTCAGGAATTCTAGAACTAATCCCCAGTGATACCAAAGAATACCAAAGAATGACTGTACTTATAATTATGTTCTTTTTTTGCTAGGAAACTCTACAGGGCAACTATTCTGTTTATTTTATTTTCGTCTGGTTTTTTTTTTTTTTTTTTTTTTTTTAGCATCTTGGACTAGACCTAGATAATTTTCAATAAATATTTATCTGTATATATGAAAAAATATGTGTTATATGGAAAGAGATTAAAATGAAATACATGTCAAAAGAGAATGATATGGAGGTGGGAAATCAGAAATTCCCTCCATGGGTTCTGATTTCTCAGCTTTTAAATGCGAGGATTCTTCCTGCTATAATATTATGTGCTTTCTGATCAACCATATTTGCTGAATCTTGAAAGCATATATTATTTAGGGGGGTATAATTTACCTCAAAAAATGCTCATATATAAATGGACTGAATGTGCTATATTGCAATAGCAAAACTCAGAATAATATAGGATTCTTAACCTAAGTAGATATGTCTTCCGATTTAAAAAATGTATAAAAATAAATATTTAGGGTACTGAATTTTATTTTTTAACTTGAATAAACATATTTTTAATATTAAAGCTCTTAAAGCATATATCACCTTTAAAACAAAATTATCTTAAAAAAATGAATCCATGTATATGAATTTGTCATTTATTTACATTTGATATGCAGCCCTGGTTACTGCTTATTATCTTTCCATTTTTTTAAGTGAATATGAATATGCATATTAACATATAATTACAATTGTACTAACAATACTTTATATAATATAAAACAAATATATTAAGCTGTCCGCCTCCTAAAACTACTTTTGAAATACAGACAAAAATACGGCTTTAATTCTTGGTTAACAAAATAATTGCCTTTTCACCTGCCAAAATACCTTGTGGCACCAACAACACAGCACAGACTATCCGGACAGGTAGTATCTGTTAAATCCAGGTTAGTTTTCAACAACTACTTAGTGGAGGTTTATGTGGTCTAGCTGAACCTATTATGCCTGGCAGGTTCTAATATCAAGAACCTGAAAGTAGAAAATAACAGCAACACAGAACAATTTGTTCTGGCCATAAATTGTTTCTTATCTCTTGTGTTAGTCCATTTTGCTGTTGCTGTAACAGAATACCTAAGATTGTGTAATATATACAGAAAAGAATTTATTTGGCTGATGATTCTGGAGTCTGGGATGACCAACGTCATGGTGATGGTGTCTGGCAAGGACCTTGTGTTGCTTCACAGCATCACAGAAAAGTGGAAGGGGAAGCAAGCACATGTGAAAAGGAAGGGAAGGGGCCGGGCGCGGTGGTTCACGCCTGTAATCCCAGCAATTTGGGAGGCCGAGGCGGGCGGATCACGAGGTCAGGAGATCGAGACCATCCTGGCTAACACGGTGAAACCCCGTCTCTACTAAAAATACAAAAAATTAGCCGGGCGTGGTAGCGGGCGCCTGTAGTCCCAGCTACTCGGGAGGCTGAGGCAGGAGAATGGCGTGAACCCGGGAGGCGGAGCTTGCAGTGAGCCGAGATCGCGCCACTGCACTCCAGCCTGGGCGACAGAGCGAGACTCCGTCTCAAAAAAAAAAAAAAAAAAAAAAAAAGAAAAGGAAGGGAAGGGAGAAGGGAGGCTGACCTACTTTAAACAACCCACTCTTGTGAAAGCAAATCCATTTTCACAACAATGAGCCCAGTCTCACAAGAAATAAATTAATCCATCTTCCTGACCTAGTTACTTCTTAAAGGCCTCACCCTACAACACCTTTACAGTGGCAATTAAATTTCAACAAGAGTTGTGGTGGGGACAAACCCTAGTATTTTACCCCTGGTCACCTAAAACTCATGTCCTTCTCACATGCAAAATACAATCACTCTATCCCATTAGTTCCAAAGGGCTTAACGCATTCTAGCACCAACTCAGAAGTGCAAAGTCCACAGTTTCATCCGCGAAATAAGGCAAACTCCTTCCGGCTGTGAGCCTGTAAAATTAAAAACAAGTTATCTACTTCCAAAACACAATGACAGAACAGGCATAGGATGAATACTCTCATTCCAAAACAGAGAGATAGGCAGAAAGAAAGGAGTAACTGGCTCAAAGCAAATTTAAAAGTCAGCAGTGCAAACATTTAATCTTAAAATCTCAGAGTAATCTTTCATTCTGTGTACCACCTCATGGACACACTGGGGTGAAGGTTGGGCCCCCAAGGCCTTGGGAAGCCCTGCTCCCATGGCTTTGCTGGGCTCAGTCTAAATGGCTGTTCTCAGAGGTTGCAGTTGCACCCTGGTGCCTCCAGTTTTTCCAGGCTTGTGTTGCACACTGCCAATGACTGTACAGTTCTGAATCCTGAGGGTGGCAGCCTCGCCCCCATAACTCCACTGGGCATTCTAGTGGAGACTCTCTTTGGAGGCCCCATGCCTGCAGTGTGTTTCTGCCTGGGCCCACAGGCCTTCTGCAACATCCTTTGAAATCTACGTGTAGGAAACCATGTCTGCATAGCTCTTGCAATCTGTGTGTCTGCACCCTGTGAACACCAACAAAGCTTGCTGCTTGCACCTTCCAGAGATGCAGCACAAGCTCTATCTGGGCCTATTAAAAGCCATGATGTGGGTGGTGCTGCCGAGGTTTACAGCTTGTAAGCTTTGGAAAGGCACCTAGAAGAACTTGACCCAAAGTTGTAACAGTTGAAGAGTGTTGTGCTGGAATGCATGGAGCTGAGTATTGAGGAAGCCCTGGTCAGTGAGGCTGTGGAGGGCACCCTGGGCCTGTCACACAAAATTATTTTTTTTTCTCCTTGGTCTCTAGGCCTGTGATGGGAGCAGCAACTTAGAAGATGTCTGAAATACATTTGGGGTCTTTTTCCCACTGTCTTGATCAATTGCCTCTGGTTCCCTTATATCAGTATGATTCTCTTTAGTAACTGGTGTCTTGGATACACCCTTGTTTTATTCTTCTCAACATGCTTTTTTGTTCTTAACATGGACAGGCTGCAAATTTTTCACATCTTTATTCTTTGCTTCTCTTTTCTGTCACATTTCACTGTACACAGTTGAAAGTAACCATGCAGCTCCTCCTATATTTTGCTTAGAAGTTTCTTCCACAAAAATAGCCTAGTTCATCACTCTGAAGTTCCACCTTCCACAAAGCCCTGGGGCGTGGACCCAATGGAACCAAGTTCCTTGCAACTGTGTAACAAGGATGGCCTTTACTCTAGTTCTCATTAAGACGTTTCTCATTTCCCTCTGAGACCTCATTAGAATGTCCTTTACTGTCCACAATACTGTCAGCATTCTGGTCATGACCACTTAAGCAGTCTCTGAGAATAGTCACTTTCCCTAATCTTCTTGTCTTCTAAGCCCTCACAAGAATGACCCCTACCATTCCATTTATGGCATTCTAGGCTTTTTCTAGCCTTTATCTCCAAGCTCTTGTAACCTCTACCCATTACCTAGTTCCGAAGCCACTTTCACATTTTAAGGTATTACTAGAGAGGCAACCACACTTCTAGGTACAAATTTTCTCTCTTAGTTTATTTTCTGTTGCTACTCTAAACCAAAAAGTGGCTGAGGCAGATCTCAATCAATGTGGAGGTTTATTTTGCCAAGGTTGAGGACATGCCTGGGGAAAAAAACTACACAAGTTGCAGTAAGATCTGTGTCTTGTGCTATTATTCCAAAGAGAGAACTTATTTAAAAGGGGCAGAGCAAGTGAGAGGGTAAGAAAAAAGGAAAAAACAAAAAGGAGGGAGAGTAAGCAATGGGGCAAGTGGTTACATTCTTGTGAGGCTCTGATGAGTACTCAGTAAATCTACAGTTTACATCTAAAAAGGTGTGTGGAAGTACTGAATTATGCATTGGATTGGAGCTCAGTAAATCTACATTTTTACATACAATAAAGTAAGCATATGAAAT
The DNA here is from genome assembly GCF_000001405.40 of Homo sapiens. Taxonomy (NCBI): domain Eukaryota; kingdom Metazoa; phylum Chordata; class Mammalia; order Primates; family Hominidae; genus Homo; species Homo sapiens. Next base: position 13,820,724 of record NC_000008.11, read on the forward strand.
TACAGCTATCTGGGAACAAAAGGAAGGCAGTTTTTGCTTGACTCGTTTCCAAGTTTAACTTTTCCCTTGGGCACAGTGAGTTTGTGGTCCCAAGATTGTATTTTGCTTTTATACTATAATGAAATACCTGTGACTGGAAAAGTTGTAAAGAAAAAAAGGTTTATTTAGCTTATGGTACTGGAGGCTGGGATGTTCAAGGTCAGGTAGCTGCCTCTGGTTGGCTTCTGGTGAAGTTCTCATGCTGTGTCATAAATGGCATACATATGGAAAGAGAAATGGGTGTGTGCAGAGAAAGAAAGGAAGGAGACATAGGAGGCTGACCTGTTTTACAACAACTCACTTTCTGAAGATAAATCTGTTCCTGTGAGAACTAAACCAGTATTGTGAGACCTCATCCAGTCTCCTGAGAAAGGCATTCATTCATTTTTAAGGAACCCAAATCACCTATTATAGGCCCTACCTCCCAACACTGTTACACTGGCCATTAAGTTTTAACATGAGTTTTGGTTGGCACAAACCATTTCTAAACCATAGCACCTATAGCCTGTTACGCATGAAACATTTCTTAAAATGACTTTATGGTGTGTTTCTATAAACTAGGACAGATGAAATTGCTATACACAATTTTGGTTTAGAGACAGCAAGATAATGTGTAAAACTTCTTTCACTCATGTCCGTGTGAAGAGATCACCAAACAGGCTTTGGGTGACAATAAAGCTTTTTAATCACCTGGGTACAGGTGGGCTGAGTCAGAAAAGAGAGTCAGCAAAGGGAGATAGGGGTGGAGCCGTTTAATAGGATTTGGGTAGGTAGTAGAAAATTACAGTCAATGGGGGTTGTTCTCTGGCCGGCAGGGGTGGGGGACACAAGATGCTCAGTTGGGGAGGTTTTGAGCCAGGATGAGCCAGAAGGAATTTCACAAGGAAATGTCATCAGTTAAGGCAGGAACAGGCCATTTTCACCTCTTCTGTGATCCTTCAGTTAGGCCATCTGGATGTATACATGTGGGTCACAGGGAATATGATGGCTTGGGCTCAGAGGCCTGACAACTTCAAGTCAAGGATTCTCGAACTAGAAGTAGACTACCACCACAACAGCCTCCCCAAACAAATAAAACTTCCTTGACAAGAGCCTGATGTTAAAAGTCATAGACTAAGGCACATGTTTTAGCTTCCTTGCAGACTTGCTGTTTCACCACAGCCACCTTTCTATTGTACTTAAAATCATCTTCTATTGAAGTTGAGAATTAATACCATTTCTCTCTTTGTAAAAAGATAAATGAAATAAATGTGCTGCAATGTTTTTTCTAAGAAGGTGGTTTTGGAATGCATAATACAAATATCTATTGTGCTAGAGAAAAGCTTTTTGTGATTTGTTTTTTTAGGAATTAAGAAGTTACTGAAGTTTCTTAAGCCTTGTAGTGGTATTTCTTTCATTTGGAATTAATGAATCTCGGTGTAAGACTTTGGCTGAGCTAGAAAGGTATAATCTCTGGAAGATGAGCAAGTGTATTATTAACTCAAGGTAGTTATTAGCTATCAAAGGAAGGCTAAGATACGAAATGCTTCATAATACAATGAAAGATGAAAATATACTTCTAAAGATACTATAACAGGATGAAGGGCTGTTAACATTTGTAAGAAAAAAGATTCTGACAACTCAATACTCTATTTAACTTACGACTATGGCAACATATGTTTCTATCACTCAGTTTATAAGTACCATTTTCTCTTATATCAGAATATGTATTACATTTGGGAGATTTCTTTTTTTTTTACTTAGAACTGGCCATGTTGTTCAACAATTTGAAAATGTCTCTATTAAAAGCTTCAGGACACATTTTTATTTTAAAAATAAGAATTTTTCCCACTATATAATTTCTATAAAGCAAGTCTACGTAGTGGAACCTCATTTACTTCTGAAGTTTTCAGCAAAAAGCAAAGAAAGCAAGTGATTTAAACCATTACAGCAGTAGATTTAAAACACTGCATGTATACTGTGAGGCCACAAGATTTGGATTAGGAGTATTTTTTATTGGTGCTTGCCACTCAAGTTTCCAAAATAATAGTTTTTTTTTGCCCATTTTTCCTTTGGATTTTTTTCTACTTTCTTGTTGAGTCACTGGAATTATTAATGTGTTCTGGCTATTGATCCTGTGTTGTAAATGTCTTCTCCCACTGTGAGTCTTTTCCTTTTGATTTTCAAAATTTGGGACATGTCTATGAAATATATTCCCCCTACTTTCCTTGAAAATGCAATAAAGGTATTGTCCTATATTCTCTCTTTAAAATGTTTAAGGTTTTCTACTCAGTTAAATTCTTGGTCCATTTGGAATTGAATTATTCAGAAACAGGTATCTTTCTTTTTGGTTTTTCAGATGATGCTCAATTGTCCTAGCATAGATACTGAAAATTCTATGCTTGCTTTACTTTTCTGCAATGCCAATTGCACCATATATTGGGATCAATTAATAAATAGTATAATGGATTGTATTCCCTAAGAACGATTTTGGCCTGAGGATTTGGGTGCAAGTAGCTCATTTGGAAAGTGATTCTTAGGGGTCAGGGAGGAGGTGAGGAAACAAGGATGTAAACCAAGGAAGGGAAGTAAGCAACTAAAAGATACATAATCTAGCCAATCATGACTGAGTAATTGGGACCAGTTTCACTAAGAACTCAGGGAGACAATAAAGAACTGGCCTCAGAGGCATCCCAGACTAGGTGGGAGAAAGCTGGCACATTTAACTGCTCACTCCTCTAACATTGACTGAGGTCTGTTTTCAGGCAAACTGACTCCCTGCCCTTTTAACTTGTCCTGAACATGGTCAAGGCATATTTTAATAGCCAAGGAAAAATTTTCTAGGCAGAGAGTCACAGGAGTTCACAGTAATTGCCTTCAGCGTGTAGAGGTGAATGGGATCACACTGAGAGTGTCTTTCAGGGTATTCCTTGCTCTTCTCAGAGCCACCTATGGCCCATAATTATTCCACTATTTCCTAACACTCATTCTTCAAGGTTATGACCAGTCACAATTTCTAAAAATGATTTACAACAGGAAGACTACTAGGATAAGATATAGTCCCACTGCTGGAGTTGTTCTCACAGCCATAATTGATATTATTTCTATATTTTCATACATATCCTAGATTCTCTTCCCCATAAAAGAGCACAACTTCTCATGGTAGTTGCTCACCCAGTGGAGAAAGAATGCCTTTTTCTCTGAGGGATCTGAGACCTTGAATATAGTGTTTTGCCCTTGCTAAGGAGTTTCTTCAGTTGCACATTCCTGGTTATCACCAAGCATGGAGGCAAGTATACACACCCCTGGGGCTTCTCCTTGGTTTCAGATAGTTGACGTTGTACCCGTTGTGGAGTAAGAAGCCTTGTGATACTCATGTTGATGGTAGAATAGAAGTCCTTGTTAGGTCTGTTTATTGGAATAAAGTCTTCCAGATGACCATGAAGCAGCCATGGTTTTAGGTTTAGTGTAACTCTTACTGTGTTGTCTTAATAAGAGCACAGTACACCCCTGGAAATCAGACATCGGTTCCTGCAGAATATTATACTTCAGGGAGAGTTATCTACAGAAGGATAACTAGTAGAGAAATTGGAGTGCTCTTTTTTTTTCCTACTTTTTATTTCCAACACACATGCATTGTACCTATTTAAGAATGCAGGACCATTTAATAGCTTTTTGTGGTATATAAGGCATCTTGAAGGACAGTTACTCTAACCTCAGAATGTCTCATACCCATGATGCAACTTAAAAACTTTATTCTAGAAATTTTATTTTAGACATAGAGTAAATGGGACCAGACATACCACCCCCCTGGGCTTAAATAGAAAAATGGGGAAAAATTTTAGAAAGCGAACAATAGGCAATATGGAACTGTGATCCTTGAAGCAAGGGAAATAAGATGAGTTTTGTGTTCACTCCAGATTTCTGCCTGGAAGAATTTCTGTAATTTAGTGCAGGAAGAGTAAACCTATGCAAAGCACGACAGTCTTACCAAGTTGGAGAGTCAGAAATCAGAGAACCTGGGGGCTATACTGGAGTAGAGGCTGCTAGATAGATAAAGGGGTTCATAGATATGATTGGGGCATTTGAGTCTCTTGCTGAATATGAAGCTGTGCATATATTAGGGTAAAATTTCACAAGACATGGAAAAGTATGTTATGAGGCTGTAGGCTGACCAATTTCCAGAGCTCACATAGGGCTGAGAGGTATTTGAGTTTCAACCCCCAGGGGGGAGAGTCCTCACTGAATTCACAAGGCATGGGGTATAGACTACAGAAATGTCACACCTTACTAGTAGAACTAAACTAGTCCTAAAGTAAAACTACTGTAGATATAATCTAAACAGAGCTGTTTTTTTAAAAAAATCACTTGACATAAAATGCATCTGTAAATAATTTAGCTGCTTTCTGGAATGAAGTTCAATGATTACTAAAGCAAGACAATATTTAGAACTCAACAATGCAGAATTCAGATTCCACCATCCAATCAAAATGTATTAGACACCAGAAGACTCAGGAAGATGTAAACCATAAGTAAAAGAAAAAAAAAATCAGTAGAAATTTACCTGGAAATGACAAAGATGATATAATTAGAACAGACAAGGAATTAAAAAGTTAATTATGAGTATTTTCAGGAATTTAAAGAAAAGCATGAACATGAAGAAGGGAGAAAAGAAACGTATAAACTGGAAACAAAACTTTCAGAGCTTAAAAAATACAGGTGTTAAAAAATTTCCTAGACGGGATTAAAAAACAGATTGAGCCCTGCAGAAGCAATCAGTGAACTCAAACACATAGCAATAAAGACGATCCAAACTGGATTACAAAATGAAAAATACTTTAAAAAGTAAAATCTAAGGCAATAGTGGAAGTTTAAGAGTGTTCATAACTGAAACAGAAAATTTTTGAGAAAAGTAGGTATCTTTTCCAAATTTAGAAAAAATATAAAAGATTCAAGAGTATCTTACACAAGATAACTGTAAAGTCACACAATACGCACTGTAACTAAGTTACTGAATACTAGCAACAAGAAAAAACATTTATAAGCAGCCAAAGAAAAAATAGTATGCATCTCATGGCAACAAAGGTAAGAAATTTTTTTTCTCAGACTTCTCAACACAAAGGATGCAAGCCACAAAAAAAAAAAAAAAAAAAAAAAAAAAAAAATAGGATTACATCTTTAAAGTGTGAAAAGAAAAAAAAACCTATATCCAATGGGAGAAGTACTCAAAAATAAAGGTGGAAAAAAATTCTTCAGAATAATTAATACTGAGAGATTTGTAGTTCTTTAGAAAGAAGGAAAATTAAATCAAATAAAAAAGTGTATTTACACGAAGGACTGGAGAGTGCCAGGAATAGTAAGTATGTGAGTAAACATGAAAGATTTTTCCTATTTTTTGTTTCTGTAATTTAATATATATTTTTGAAGACAAAAATACAGTAAGTTGTATTTTATAATATATGTGCAAGTAAAGTGAATAATAGCAGCACAATGGAGGAAAGGGCAGAAAATGGATGTGTACTATTATACATATACTATTATGCATAGATTTTTCATGATGTATAATATTGGTTAAAGTTAGATTGTGGTAAGTTAAGGATGCATATGGTAAACTTTATAGCAAACAATAAGAATACGTGTTTTTCAGAAGGAAGTATAGTTAATGAGTGGAAATGAATTTAATAGTAAAAATACCATGTTAATCCAAAAGAAAGGAAAATTTATAAAAGAATCACAAAGAAGAAGGAATAAATAGCAAGGTGGTGTATTTAACCCCAACCACATCAATAATTTCATTAAATGTAAAAGGCCATATATGCAAATAAATGGGGGACCTTTCAGACTAAATAAAAAGCAACATTCTACTTTATGGTAATTACAAGAAATAGACTTCAGTTAAAGACATGGACTGGTTAGAAGCAAAGGGATGAAAAAATACACCCCATTTGACAAGTTTTCTTATGATTAATGTTTGCATGGTATACATACTTTTCTCTCCTGTCTGTCTCATTTCTCCATAATTATTTGAGTAGACCCGAAAAAAATTGGTAAGACTATAGAAGTCTTGAACAAATCTAAAAATCCAATTGCTTTAATCAAGAATTGTAGCACAAGCTACAGAATAAAAACGATATAATACTATTGAAGTGTCCAAGGAACATTAACAAACAGAACCAATTTCTGGGCCATAAACCAAGCCTCAGAAATTTTAAACAAAAGAGATAATACAGGATATAGTTTCTGATTAAATCAGAATTAAGTTAGAAATTAATGCAGAAAGATGTCTTTGATAATACTAAATATCTGGCAATTAACAACACTTTTCTAAATAACCTGAGAATCAAAGAAAAAATTAACAAGAACAATTAGAAAATATTTTAAACTAAATGAAAATATAAAACAAAATTCTGTGGCATCTAGTTTTTACTTTTACATTTAGGACCATGATTCATTTTTTAAATGCTTGCCTATTCTGTAAAGTAAGTACCCTCTGCCCCCTACCCCCAACATTGATATTCATTTGTTGCAGCAGCTTTTGCTAAAAGAATACTATTACCCGTGAATCACTTTGGTATCTCTGTTAAAAACCAATTTATGGTATATTTTTTGGTCTACTTCTTAACTTTTTCAGTCTGCTTCATTAACCTATATGTCTATCCTCTGTGAATACCACACTATTTTGATTATTTCTGTAGCTTTATAGTGGAACTTTAAGTCATGAGAATGTTCTTGGGTCCTCTACTTAAAATTTGTTTTGACTATTTTATGTCTCTTTTGCTTCCATGTAACTTTGGGAATAAGCATGGTACTTCCTACAAAAATTGAATTGGGATTTTGAGAGGGATAAAATACCCTGTTTGTCTCTAGTAATATATCTTATCCTAAAGTTTATTATGTCTGACATTTATATAGTCACTCCAGGTTTCTTATGAGTACTCTTTCATTATAAATCTTTTTCTATCCTTTTAACATCCATCTTATCTGTATCTCTATATTTAAATTGCTAAAAGTCTTTTTGAAAGTTTATTTTAAGCAACATATAGATGGGACTTGATTCTTAATCCAGTGGGAGAACTGGGTCACTGAACCCAATACTCAGTCAACATAAATATCTTAAACCATGCCTTCCATCTTATTTTGTTTTCTGTTTATTTTATAGTGTGTTTTCATTTTCTCTTTTTTACTTTTGATGTTTTATCTGTTGCTATTAATTTATGGTTTCTACTTTGTGTGAAGACTTCTAAAAAATTAAGTAAAATGAAGATATCAGCGTTGCCCCTTTACCAATGGGTATTGGTCCCCAGTTGTTTATTGTGATACAAAGTGAGATCTTTAGAATGCATTAAACTCCCCTTCTCCCAACTAACTCTAAGAATTGCGATGATATAAACATTTTAATCCATCTGTAATGCATTTTATTTCAGAATCTTTATTTAGCCCTTACACTAAAAGTTTCAGCCACACCATCATTGTCAATTTAGATTTATCTACTATAAGGTTTATTGCTTAAAAACATTTTGTGTCTTCTTTCTGTTTTAATTTAGAATGTATATTCTTGTCCATTTGAGCTATTATTTTCTCTTGATTTGCAGCCTTCTGATTCAGGTCATAGTGGTAATTATCAATTCATTTTCTATATTTAAAAAAAAAAAAAGTAGCTGGGCATTGTGGTGTATACCTGTAGTCCCAGCTACTTGAGAGCCTGAGGAGGGAGAATCCCTTGAGCCCAGGAGGTCAAGGCTGCAGTGAGCCATGATAACGCCGCTGCACTCCAGTCTGGACAATACATTGAGACGTCGTCTTGAAAAAAAAAGAAAAATTACACCCTCACATTTTACCTTTAAAAAGTGTGTATGAATGTGCATTTGATGTAAGTGAAAGCTCTGTTGTCCAGTAACTGGTTTTCTAGGAACACTTCTTCTGAATGTTTTGTTTCTTTTCCTTATTTGATAGCTTAGTTATCTTAGGTGCTTGCTTTCTCTTTTGCCTACTATGTTAATCAGAGTATAGCCTAGGCTGCATTAGCAAAGAGACCTAACCCAAGTGGCTCAAACGAGGTAGAAAGTATTTTTTTTTTCTGTCATCTAGAACAGTTTTGGGATTCCAAAGGCTATCTTTGCATTTTCCGTAACAATTTTCTCAATTAGTATGTTTTTATGACAGTCCAGGGGAAGAACCTGTGTTTTAAGGAAGTTACCTGAAAGCTGCACATCACTTCTGCTCACATTCCATTATATTATTAGTCACGTGGCTACACTAATCTCAAAAGAGGTCAGGAAATACAAGTGATAGCCATTACACAGATGAATTTTGGGAAATCTTTCATTAAAATAAGCTGAGAAATGGACATTGAGAGACAATTAGAAGTTGTGTTTCTTAGGGCTTTTTTGTTGTTCTTGTCCATCATGGTTCTAGTTCATTTTCTGAGAATGTCGGGGCTATGTTCAGCAAATTCATAAGTAGCAGGTGAGCGGACTCTGTTCCTGTTGGCTGTTAATGTGTCATTAACAAATTGTCAGTTCATAGTTGGGGTGCCAAGAAAGAGATTCTTTGTTTTCTTGTCTCATAAGTTTTGAAGTATAGCCCTTTCTTAACAACCGTGTTGGAAAGTCATCCCATCTCTGTAACTCGCTTGAAATTCACCTAGAGGCAAGGAAACCAGCAGGTTTCCCAGGACTACTCATAAAGGCAGGCATAGGAGTTCTGTAAGCAAAGTTCTATTTCCTGGTCTACTCATGCCTTTGTTCTTTCTGTAACTCATCCTGAGGCCTCTTACCATCCTTCTTGCTCTGCACAACACCTATGCTTAGTCACAGCTCATCACTAAAGTAGCAAATGACAAAAAGAATGGACTTGAATGGCAGGTTTGCCCATGCAGGTGACTGTCCTAACAGCCACTAAAACAAGCAAGCAAGCAAAAAAGGCTTTCAGATCTTAATAGTAATGTGGGAAAAGCTGTGGCAACTAGAAGCTTGGCATGTCTAAAGTCATCAAGTGAAGGATGGTGATTAGCAGGGTAATCCTACTACCTGGTAGGCTCAGGTCTCTGATAAGAGCATTTTTAAAGTCCTGATTGAAGAGCTAGATGAACGAAAAAGTTTTCAGTTTAGACCCATTATACTCTGAAATGTAAATTAAATAAAGTTATTTTAATTCCCTCCCTCCCTCCCTCCCTGCCTTCCTTCCTGCCTTCCTTCCTGCCTTCCTTCCTTTCTGCCTGCCTTCCTGCCTTCCTTCCTGCCTTCCTGCCTGCCTTTCTTCTTTCCTTCCTTCCTTCCTTCCATTTTCTTCTTCATTTTTTTTTAATAGACCATTTCTCACTCTGTTACCCAGGCTGGAGTGCAGTGGTGAGATCATAGCTCACTGCAGCCTCTAACTTCAGGGCTCACATGGTCCTCCCACTTCAGCCTTCTGAGTGGCTGGGACAATAGGTGTGAGCCACTGCACCTGGCACGTATTTTAATTTCAGTAAGAGTTAAAGGAAAGTGCCAACTTCTCTTATTTATTTGCCTCCAAATCTTTTTAGATTATTTATAATTATTTTTATAACATATTCTACCAATCTATGGTGTTCTTTTTGATAAATTGCTATATTTCTATAGAACTGAAAACAAATATATTTACTATGGTGTTAATATTGGCAGTCTAGACCCTTAAGAATACATTACGTATATTTTAGTCAAGGCCCCTAATCTTAACAATGAAAAAGTAAATTTTACAATATTTAAATGATTTTGATGAGTTCAAATGTTAGTTAGAAAGCTGGGATTGGTTTTCAGGTTTACTGGATCCCACTTCTCCACCTTACGTATAACAAATCGTTATTAATTAATTCCTTAATGGAATGATTATAATTGTATAGTCTACAAAACAGAACCCCAAACTGTGATTTTAAATGTGTTGATAGCTGTCATAGGTCACGTAAATCTCAGAGAAAATTGCCAGTTTCTAATTTATTTTATTTTAATACTCAAAGTTATTAAACACATAAAGTTAAGTGCCACAGTATAATAGTAGAATATACAGTACAAATTAATGACAAAGATAAAAATCTGTCATACAATTATTTGTCAAGTAAACTAATAACCTCTAGGCTCATTCATATAATTCAGTTGTCGCCTTAAAATAGCCTAAAGTAAGAAACAAACTATGTGGCAGTATAATTGAAATACTTACAACATCAGAGTTGAAGCTGATGTGGTACCAATAAAATAATTTTTTTTTTTTTTTTTTTTTTTTTTTTGAGATGGAGTCTTGCTCTGTCGCCCAGGCTGGAGTGCAGTAGCGTGATCTCGGCTCATCGCAAGCTCTGCCTCCCGGGTTTACACCATTCTCCTGTCTCAGCCTCCTGAGTAGCTGGGACTACAGGCACCCGCCACCAAGCCAGGCTAATTTTGTTTTTTTTTTTTTGTTTTTTCAGTAGAGACAGGGTTTCACTGTGTTAGCCAGGATGGTCTTGATCTCCTGACCTCGTGATCCACCTGCCTTGGCCTCCCAAAGTGCTGGGATTACAGGCATGAGCCATGGCGCCTGGACCAATAAAATAATTTTTAAAATTCAGTTATGAATAATTTTCTTAAATTGTTTCCCTAATAGCAGATTTTTGGCATAAAATTTATAAACTATATAATTTACCATTTAAGCAAATAAGTCAATGGTTTTTAGCATATTCAGTGTTTTTCAATCATTACCATCTATTTTAGAACATTTCAACATTCCCAGAAGAAATGCTGTATCCATAATGAGTCATACCTTATTGTTCCCCAACCCCTCATCCAGCCCTAAGCAATCCTTCATCTACAGGCTATCTGCATAGATTCTCATGCTTTAGACATTTTACATAGATGATATCATACAATAAGTGATCTTTTGTGTCTGGCTTCTTTCACTTAGTATAATGTTTTCAAGGTTCAGACACATTGTAGCATGAATTACTTTTTGAATGAGTGATATTTCATTATGTGTATATGCTGTATTTTATTTTGTACACTTGCCAGTTGATAGATACTTGTCTCATTTCCACTTTTTGGCAATTATGAATAATACCGGTATAAACATTTATGTATTAAGTTTTTGTTCAGACATACATTTTCAGTTATCTTGGGTATATTACTAGGAATGGAATTGCTGAGTCATGAAAACTTCATGTTTAACACTCTTTTAGGAATTGCCAGACTATTTTCTATAGGAGCTGAGCCATTTTACACTCTCCTTTATATGTGAGGGTTCCAATATTTTTACATTTTCCCCAACACTTGTTATTATGTGTCTTTTTGACAACAGCTATCCTTGTGGGTATGAAGTTGTATCTCATTCTAGTTGGTCTTGATTTGTATTTCTCTGATGACAACTAATGTTGATTATTTGTTCATTTGTTTATTGGCTAGTTTTAGATCATCTTTGCGGAAATGTTGATTGAGAGATTTTGTTCATTTTCAAACTGACTTATTTGTCTTTTTACTGTTCAGTTGTAATGGTTCTTTATACAGTTATTATGCAAGTCCCTTAACAGTTACATGGTTTGTAAATATTTTGTTCAATTCTGTCACTTGTCTTGTGAATTTCTCAGTGATATCCTTTGAAACACATTTTTTCTTTCCTTTTGATGCAGTCAAATTTATTTATTTTTTCTCTTGTTACTTGTCCTTTTGGTGTCATACGTAAAAAGGCTTTGCCCAGTTAAGGGTCACAAATATTTATTCTTAAGTTTACTTTTAAGATAGTTTATGGCTTCACCTCTTAAATGTTGAGTTAATTTTTCTGTGTATGGTGTAAGAAAGGAGCCAAATAAAACTTCATTCTTGAGTGTGTGGATATCTAATTTTTCCAGAACCATTTGCTCAATTATTATTTGCCCATTTAATTGTCTTGGCATCCTTGTCAAAACAAAATTCCTCATAAACATAACGACAAATTTCTAGACTTTGTTTTATACTCTTGATGGACATGTCTAAACTATGTCAATACCGTATACTTACACTAACTTTGTAGTATATTTTGAAATTAAGAAGTGCGAGTGTTCCAACTTTGTCCTTCTTTTCATAATGTTTTGGCTATTTTTGTTCCCTTGTCAGTTTCTATAAGAAGCCAGCTGGGATTCTGAGGGATTTTATTGAAACTGTAGATCAGTTTGAGGAATATTGCCACCTTTACAATCTTAAGTATTTTGATCTTTAAACACGAGATACCTCTCCATTTATGTAGCTCTTCTTTAATTTGTTTAACAATGTTTTGTGTTTTGAGAGCATAAATTTTATACTCTTTTGGTTACATTTATTCCCAAGTGTTTTTATTTTGTTTGATGCTATTTTAAACGAAATTGTTTTCTTCATTTAATTTTTGGTTTATTGCTAATACATAGAAATACAGTTGACTGTTGTACGTTGATTTTTCATGCTGCAACATTGCTGGACTCAGTTATCAGTTCTTATAATATGTGCGTGTACAAGCTGTTCTTGCTCATTCTTGGGCAGAGGATGAGATACCTATGGCAGGAATTTAGTTTAACTTTAAAACAAAGGTGATAACAACACTTACACAAAACTAATTGCCTTCTTATTTAGGGACTAAAACCACCTTTGTAAAACTAACACATTGTCCACAAGGTTAAAATTATGTCTCAGGAGTCATGTAGCCAGAGGCCACAGATTTGTAACCTTCCTGATTGCTCCTATAGATGATATGATGGTAATAAAACCTAGGGTTAGTATTTGAGATATTTTTCAGACACTGCATTATGATGTACCAGCTGGTAACACCTGGATTGGCAACTCATACTAAGAAACTGATAACATGTCTTGTAACCCCTACCGAGGAACTGACTCAGTGCAAGAAGACTGCTTTTACCACCTGTGTTTTCATGCCTGACCCAAACAGGTAGCATTCTCCATTCTCTAACCCACTGACAGCCAAACTGTCATTGAAAATTCCTAGTCTCTGAATTCTTGGGGAGGTGAACTTGAGAATTATCTTCTGTCCTTTTACTTGGTTGGCCCTGTCATTACTAAACTCTTCCTTGGCTGCAAAACTGGTTGCTCTCAGTGCATTGGTTTTGCTATGCAGTAAGCAGGAAGAACCCATTGGCCTGTAATGTAAATAGACTTTCAAAATAGCTTCTATTTTTTTCTATTTACAAGGAAACCTTCCTTTTGACATTTAAGCTTTATATGCTTTCAAACTGACAGACTTATTCATAGGTTATATCAGCTGTTATTTGCCAAACTTTTTATCCGGGGACTTTAAAGATAATTCTCTGCAGATTTTTTACACTCTTAATGAATCAACAGTAGGCTCTGTAAAAGGAAATGAAAATGTGCACACTATATTTGTTGTATCAGTGAAACTCAATATCACAGGATTAGGAACTCAGAGATTCAAATTTTGAATAACTGGAGGTAGTTGTACATGAAATCATTAACAGCAAAAAGTTTTGCCTTTCGAAGAGCCTATTTATAAAAACAATTTCATTTTTTATTACAATAAACTGTCAATTGATTCTTTCTCAAACACCATATGTAAATTAATCATTGTAAATATTGTGAAAATGATATAGTTTGAGTAATCTTAAAAATCAGATATACCGTAAAACTGTTTCTTGTGTTGGCAAAGGAAATGTGAAAACAGCTCCTGATGTCGGGTGTTTAACAAGAGTTTTGTTTTCCACGGATGAAGGAACTTCTCCTCCCTTTCTTGAAGATTTTTTAATTTTAGTCTATAAAACAAACTGACAACAGACAGATTAGTAGGAGAAAAGGCATACGAGTCAATTTGTATGCAAATACACAGCAGCCACACAAAATGTGAGACTCCAGGATGAGCCAGATGACTGAAGATTTTATACTGTACAGAAATGAGTAGGGGTTTTTAGCTCTTGGAGTGAAGTGGTAACAGGTTATTGGAGGCCGAGGAAAAGAACTAAATAATGAGCAAAAGCGGTCTGGTTACGCAGATGAAGTCTCCCGAGCAGCAGTCCTCAGAGAGATGGTGTAGCCTTTAGTAAGTTTGTCTGTCAAACCTTGATAAGTGTCAGACCTTTAGTCTCTTTTTCCTGTGAGTTAATCTTTCCTAGAACCCAAGAAGGCAACCTCAGAAAAAGCCTCTGCCTGCATCCCCTGTTTGTTTTATTAAAGCAGATAGGTGTATATTTCTTTTACAAAAGGATAGCTTCTCAGAGCTCATTTTGTCTGCCCTTTCTCATCACAACTAACCCAAAATATACCAAAGAAGCATATTCTGGGTTAGTTGTGCCAAAGAAGCATATTTTGGGGTGGCATATTTTGGTTTCCCAGTTTCAAAAAATATAAATTAAAATGTTTATTTCTATGGCAGTTTATGGAAAACACACATAGTGCTCTTCCAGGAAAAGTATGGTTATGGTATATTTCTTATGATAGTAATTTGGTTTAGTAGTGCTACATATTTTCATACTCTCTTTGTGAGGTTAGAAGCAAGATGGAGTCAACTATGCCAGATTTATCTCACTGTCATAATTTTTGCAAAGGCACTTTCATTTGTCACTTGAAATCTTTGTTTTAATAATTTTAGAGGACAAAGAAAAAGTTATTTGATTTAGTGGCATTATTATGCATTGGTAGTATCAGTGGTTATTCAAAACTTTTAGCCTTTTCTAGTTAATAATATTTAAAATAAGCCTAGTTATTAAATTCTACCCAGTGTTTGCTTCTATTTCTCCCTGCTTCTGACATTCATTGGTCATTGAAATTATCACATTAAAATGTACCTAGAACTGATTATATTTTCAAATCCAAATAGTTGAAGTGAGAAAATAGGGTTTTCATTCTCTAGATTCACAACAGAACTTTCACACAAGTATTCTACGTCGTATCAAAACTTCCACTCCTTTGAGAATCATATTATCCTATCCTTTCTGCATTTTCTACAGCTTCCTTTGTAGGTTCTACATCTGTTTCAGACTTTGGTACCTGGATCATAGTTGCCAGATTTACACATCTTTGGATTATTTGAATGGTCTTTAACCATCACCTATAAAATTCCAAACAATAGCTTTGTGTCTAATTCCCCGGGCTTTTGCAGCTTCAATGGCCATTTACATTTACAGCAAACATCCTCCCTGCAGGGTCAAATTCTCCAAGTTTTCCTAATCTGGTCTGGTCAAGCTCAGAACCTTATAATATAACTTGCCTGTTCTCTGACCATGATTTCCTGTTTTTCTAACTCTTTTACTTCCTTATTTCCTTCATTTTATTTTACCAAAGATTCCAAGACCTTATTATCTTACTTCTGTTTTAGAATGTATCAGATACTTCCTGATCTCCCTTCCTTCACTGGCTTTCGTGAATTTCATGTCAAAAGTCTGAACAACTTTTTCAGTAGCCTAGATTTCTCAGCACCTGCCATTTTGTCATATTTATCCTTTCAAAGTGAACCCAGAATCACTGCTATGATCTGCGTTATCTTTTCATTTACTTCATTGAATAAGTGCTGTGGAGACAAAAAATACACAGGTGAAAATATCCTCATAAGTAACTTTGATTGTGACTTCGAAACATTTCATTAATACCTTTACTGATCTTGGGTAGCTCTACCTTTGATTCCTCACAATGATTATTCTAAACTTTTATGACTTTCCTATGTCTCCTTCCTCGGTTTCTATTAACCTCATTCTCACTGGACAACCTTATTCTTATTGAGAAGAAACAAAGCAAACAAAACAAGAAATAGATCCTGTGACCATTAGTTGGAATCTCACTTCTATACTCACCTACAAACATATCTATTCCATATTCCCTATTCTTTTCTCTATAAGATGTAAATATGAGTTTTTATGTTCCTTTTGAGTAAATATTTCCATATGTTTCTTTTTTTTGCTCCCTTGAGAGAACTTGGTGAGCGAATAAGCTCTTTTTTTCCCCCATTTTACCTTTAATCTCTTTTATCTTCCTGGGAAACATTCCCTCAATGCCTAGATAGGCTTAAATAGCCTTTTGCTAAACAAACAATATCAACAAACCCCTTTCTTTCTTATCTTTTTTTAAAAATTGTTTTTATACCCTACTTTCAATAATGAATAACCTTCCTGTTTCTTATACTAATATCTCTTAATATTTTTTATCTTCTTCCTATGGAGATTAATCAGTAACAGTCCTCATCATTCTTTGGTTTCTAATCAGTAACAGTCCTCATCATTCTTTGTGTTTCATATACTTCCTAAATCCCTCTAATATGGTTTTTCACTTTCCCCATGACACCAAAGCAATTTTTGTTATGGTCTCCAGTAACTTGTAATTCATACATTCAATTGGCACATTCAATTGATATTTTACAATATTTGTTTTGCTGAAAGGTTATATTACATTCGATGACTGTGGAAGAATTTTTCAAATTGTCTTTCTTAAATCCCACTTCACATTATTATTTGGAAAGACAGGAATGCTAAAATCACTTCACCAGCTGTCTTGCAGCTATAATCTTTGAAGTCAAATGTGTTTCTCCTTTAGAGGCACTCTAGAGAGATCAGGAAAAAGTGGAGTCCAGATCTGTGGCTTGAAGCTAGTGCTTCCAGTAAACAAGATTTGGAAATGAGTGGGTTACTTTCACTTGTGTTCCATTGCCGGGTGTTCAATGTCCTGCTGCCAATAAATGACATTGGCCACAGAGTCCTCATCTGATTTTCTAATTCCTGGCATGACTTTAGCTTTGTGTGCTCATTCTCCAGCATTCCATTTGTGAGAGTTCCTTGGGAAAGCAGCAGAATCTTCTGGTTTTCCTTATAGCTATAGTGATGGCTTTGCAGTATTAACTCTTTTTGAACTGAGTGTCATTCCAGAAGATCTAAATTGGAAACGGTACCTTCAAGATGCCTAACAATTATAGAAAGCTCCACAGAAATCCGCTTTGCAACTATTGTAACAGTGGGAGGAATCTAGCATAAACAAACTCTATCTTGCTTCTAACCTCACAAGCTTACTGCCCTTGCTCATTGCTGAATGTTGGCAAAGCTAAATATGGGAGAAATCTGGCTTACAATTTGATGTTTAATCAAGGAGAATAATAATTCCTTCCCAATACTGACCCTCTCCTTGTTCAGGGACCCAGACCATCTTTGTAAGGCTAATAAAAGGCCACAGCATTAAAATTATGGGAGGGGCCTTAATTCTGCCAAGATGTAGGCATGGTTAAATGATAACTAGCCAGAGTCCTGTAGCCAGAGGTCACAAGATTTGAAACACCACCCCTACCTTGCTCCTGTAGATAACATCACTATTATAAAACCTAAGATTGATCTTTGAGCTATTTTTCAGACTTTTGCATTCTCCTCACCTACTGACTCTACCTGGACTCATGCCACATACCAAGCAACTGACTCAACCAATCATGTGATCCCCACCTGGAAACTGACCCAAGTACACGAAGACAGTTAGACACTCTTAATGTTTCATCCCTAACCCAACCAATCAGTAGCACACATTCCCTAGCCTCATGCCTGCCAAATTATCCTTAAAAATCCTAGCCTCTGAGCTTTCAGAGAAGCAGATTTGAGAAATATTTCCAGTCTTCCCACTTGGCTGCTTTGTGATAATTAAACTCTTGACTGCAACATCCCTGCCATTCTCAGTGTATTGGCTTTTCCAGGTAGTCAGCAAAAAGGAGCCATTAAGCTGTGACACAATTATTAATTTAAATATCTTCATACTTCAAAATCCTATGTTGTATTCTGCTCCTCTGCTGAATGAATTCTGAATGCTAGAACACTTATTCTCCCTCTCTTAATTCCTTTCATTGCCATGACACAGCGCTCCTCCGGTCATTGTCATACCTCTGGTTTTTGCCTTCTTCTTAAACAGCTTCTCTTTCTCCTTTCTGTTTCTATATGTTTGTATTTAGGAACAACTCTTAGAGTCTACACACTGTCCTTGGTGATCTTACACATTCTCCTTTTTTTTTTTTCTTAGGCAGGTATGTTGCCCATGCTGGAATGCAGTGGCACAAACTTGGGTCACTGTAGCCTCAACCTCCTAGGCTCAAGTGGTCCTACTACTTCAGCCTCCTGAGTCGCTGAGACTACTAGCACATGCCACCATGCCTGGCTAATTTTGTTTATTTTTTGTAGAGAGGGGATCTCACTGTGTTGTGCGGCTGGCCTCAAACTCCTTGACTCAAGCAATCCTCCCATCTTGGCCTTACAAAGTGCTGGGATGGTAGACATGAGCCACCACATCCAGCCTGATGATCTTAATAACAAATATATGCCAACTCTTAAATTTGTATGAATAAGTCAGACTTCTTTTTTTTTTTTATTTTATTTTTTTACTGTAGACATAGACTAAGGTACTGTGTATCTCCATATGGTTATTCTACTTGTTCCACAAAAATTAACATGGGGAAAGTGAGCTCACTTTATTTCTCTATCCCCAAATATGGTTCGTTTCTGTACATTTTCATTTGATTTTTTACTAATCATGCATCCTTATTTGTCATTTTTATTCTCATCTTCTTGTATCACATTTCATATTCAGTCAAAAAATCCCTTTCTACAAAGGAAGCTATAGAAAATACAGTTAGGGGCCAGGCACAGTGGCTCACGCCTGTAATCCCAGCATTTTGGGAGGCCGAGGAGGGCAGATCACGAGGTCAGGAGATCGAGACCATCCTGGCTAACGCGTTGAAATCCTGTCTCTACTAAAAATACAAAAAATTAGCCGGGCGTGGTGGCAGGTGCCTGTAGTCCTGACTACTCGGGAGGCTGAGTTAGGAGAATGGCGTGAACCTGGGAGGTGGAGCTTGCAGTGAGCCATGATCGCACCACTGCACTCCAGCCTGGGCGACAGAGTGAGACTCTGTCTCACAAAAAAAGAAAATACAGAAAGGATAGGGTAGAATGATTCTCAAAGGAGTAGAAGTTTTGATGTGAAGTATTGATCTCATCCCCCTTCTTTATCCAACTACCATTTTTAAAAATTTGAGTCTTTGAAGGCCAGGTGTGGTGTCTCATGCCAATAATCTCAGCACTTTGGGAGGCCTAGGTGGGCAGATCACTTGAGGCCAGGAGTTCGAGACCAGCCTGACCAACACAGTAGTGAAAACTTTTCTCTACTAAAAATAGAAAAAATAGCCAAGTATGGTGGTGCATGCCTGTAATCCCAGCTACTTGGGAGGCTGAGGCATGAGAATTGCTTGAACCTTGGAGGCAGAGGTTGTAGTGAGACGAGACAGTGCAGCTGCACTCTAGCCTGGGTGATAGAGTGAGATTCTGTTTCAAAATAAATAAAATAATTAAAATTTAAATAAAATAAAATTGAGTCTTTGTCATCTCCCACGTAGAGCACAGCAAAAGTTTCTTCACTGGGCTGTCTTCCTTAAATTTATTCTCATACACTGCAGTCAGAATACTTTACATAAAACACAGAATACTTGATATAAACCACAACCAAGGCATGTTATTTCTCAGCTTGGTTCCCGTTAGTGGCACTTCATCGTGTAAGACAATGCCTAAATTCCTTCATGGTATTTAACTCCTTCATCAACCTGGCTTCTCTCTATCTTCCTTGTCTCTTTTCTCCTCTTCTGTGGTTGGTCCTGGTATACCTTCTCTCTGTACCTTCTCTCTGTTCCATGGCTGACACACTTACACATATGCAAAAAGATAAACTTTCAAATGAATGAAAAAAGCCACATTTTACTAAAGTTTACATTACAGCAAATAGTAAATTTTAATTTGAAACCTAAGCTATTGCATCTCTCTTCACCTCAGTTACAGAGATATGACCAACAGCATCCTATAGAGAACAATTTTTGTTAGTATTTATGGGGTATTTTCTGCATAGCTGGCAAAACTGTGAGCAATATCTTTAGAACATTTTGTATGTAATTCTGATACAGGTCCAATAAAATTTGTATAGTTTTTTGCAATATTTAATAATTTTTTAAGTTGGTAAGTGGTTAACTCAGGATTGAACCTAGATAGCCCATCTCCAAAGCTGTTTCCTTTACCATACCCTATATTGCTTCTGGTAGATTAAAAAACATCATAAGTTATGGTAGTGATGGCAATAGATTAGTTTCCTAGGGATGTCATAACAAATTACCACAAACTTGGTAGCTTTGAGGCGACAGTAATTATTCTCTCATAGTTCTAGAGACCAGAAGTCCAAAATCAACTTGGTAAGGCTGCTTTCTCTTGGAGTCTCTGAGGTCAAATCTGCTCCATGCCTCTTTCCCAGCTTCCAGAGAAAGCTGGCAATTCTTAGCATAGCTGTCTGCCCTCTGTATCTCTGTAACTTCCTCTTTTCTTATCGGGACACTTGTCCTTATAAGAAATTTAGAGTCCATCCTAAATTCAGGTTATTTTTATTTTGAGATTGTTAATTACATCTTCAAAGACCCTTTTCTCCAAATAATGTCACATTCTCAGATACTGGGTGTTAAGTCTTGGAAATACCTTTATTGATGGATACAGTTCAATCAATTAAAAGGATCGTCAAGGTATCATGGAAATGCTATTGACTATGTAATCTGTGTAGAGTTATAATATGATAAGTGTGCCAAGCAAAAGGCCTCATTTGCCACTGCTTTTAATCCCATGGCTCAATTATAACCAGAAATATTTTAGAAAGGTATTGTAAGAATTCCATGTCTGCCAAACTAGTGGAAAAAATTTCAAATTTCAGGTTGAAGGGAAAAGAGAAAGATTTAATAGAATGCATGTGCATCATTTATCACAATTGCTAACAATGTTTTTATAGAATGAAAAGGAATTTTTTGTCCATAAAACTGATGGAGGAGATAGACATTATTTAGGTAGATAATGAGAGCAAGAGTCCTTTGGCAGAACTTCCCTTCTAACAAAAATCAGCCCAAGAAATCATTTATTTTCTAACAAAGAGCAGCCTAAAAGATCGAGCTGCAAACATAAATAAGGAAGCTGGAAGTGTGCATGGGGGGATGCTGGCAGCTACACCAATAGAACAGGGCTCCCTGGGAGCCACGCATGTCCACCATGGGGCTCGACCTTCCCTTTGTTGTTAGCATGTGTACCGTAACAAATGGACAACATGGAGAAGCTCAGACAGGGAACCCACATGCATAATAAAAGACTGGGGTGGGGGCTGGCAGAGAGTCACACCCTATCCAGATGGCACAACAGGTCCTAA
This sequence comes from Homo sapiens, assembly GCF_000001405.40. Taxonomy (NCBI): domain Eukaryota; kingdom Metazoa; phylum Chordata; class Mammalia; order Primates; family Hominidae; genus Homo; species Homo sapiens. The sequence goes on from NC_000008.11 coordinate 13,841,873, forward strand.
CAAGTTTTTCGTGTCCTATGTAAATCAGACACGGCCTTCCCACTACGTCATCTATAAAAACCCCTGCATTTCACCACAGATTGGTAACTCATTTTTCTGGGACCCCTCTCTGTAGCATAGAGCTGTTCTCTTTGTTTCGCCTGTTAAATTTCTGCTCTGTACCTCACCCTTTGTGTGTGTCCATGTTCTTGATCTCTGTGCCTGTGAGACCAAGAACCTCGAGTGTCACCCCAGACAACAAGGCTGCCTCAACACGATTTTACTGATGAGGAGACAAATGATGAGATGTGTAGGTTTCCATTTATTTGAGTTCTGTTGTAGTTTTTCCTACAGTAACCATGCTAGCATGATATATAATATTTTTTATTTTCCGGTGTGTGTATGTTCATAGGCTGCCACTCACTGTCATTTTTACTTTGGGTTTACTTTGGGTAAGCATTTCTCTGACTTACCGAATACTCTTGAAGAAATACGTATGTTTTAATGATTTGCAACTCATAAAGCAGTTTTTTATATCCCAAGTGAGGCTGAATGAGTGATAACTTTAGGCCTGGCCACATTTTGAGAAAATATAACACATGAGTGTTTGGAACATGAATGAAAAGAAATCAAGTCAGTTTTTATTTTTCACTCCACTGACAACATATCACAAGTCAAAAATGATTCCTCCTGAACTTAAATATACAAAACGTCTCACTTTGAAAGCTGGAATTAAATTTTTGGTTCAGTAAAAAAAACAAAACAAAACATTTTCTTGAAATTTTATTCCTTTGTGTTATATAAAATCTTTTAAGTTGATATACTTGCTGTAGAAAAATTTTAAAAGAAAAATGGACAAAACCTGCACAGTGGTGAATTGTCATAAATTACATAATCAAACATAATTTTTCATCAAAATGCTAAATTTGTAGTAGACAGTAAATTGTTAATACTTAGATGCTTATAATTTTTGAGGAAATATCATGTTATAGACACTGTAAAACTAGGATGACAAACTGTATTATATACCCTAGGAGACTGTTTATAAGTTCATGAACAACCCCAAGTAGGAAAGAAGAACAAACCTGGAGATACCACACTATCTGATTTCAAAATACCTTGCCAAACCATAGTAGTCAAAAAAGCATGGAAGTAGCATAAAAACAGACACATTGATCAATAGAATAACATAGAAAGCCAAAACATAAACCCACAAAATTTGTCAATTAATTTTCAACAAAGCTTCCAAGAAGACACAATGGGGTTAGGGCAGTCTTTTCAATAAATGGTGTTGGGAGAACTGGATACTGACATGCAAAATAATGGAATTGAACCCTTACCACATGTCATGTACTAAATCAACTCAAAAGGGAGTAAAGATTTAAAATCTGGAGCTGAAAACTCTTGGCAGAAAACATAGGAGAAAAGCTCTATTACATTGGTGTGGGCAATGATTTCTTAGGTATCATCAAAAGTACAGGGAACAAAAGCAGAAATAGAGAAATGGGATGGCATCAAATAAAAAAGCTTCTGTGTAGCAAAGGAAACAACAGAGTAAAGAGACAATCCACTGATTGGGAGAAAATATTTACAAACCATATATGGGATAAGAGATTAATATATAAAACATGGAAGGAATTTAGCAACATAGTAACAATAAAACAACCGTTAGAAAATGGGCAAAAGATCTGAACAGACATTTCTCAATAGAAGACATACAAATGGCCAACACATATATGAAAAAAAAAATGCTCAGCATCACTATTCATCAGGGAAATGCAAATTAAAACCACAATGGGATGTCACCTCACAACTGTTACATTGGCTGTTATCAAAAAAGATAACACATATTGGTGAGGTTATGGAGAAAAGAGATCCTTTGTAAACTATTGGTGGGAATGTAAATTAGCAAAGTTCCTATTATTTTTAGGCAGCATATTTGCAATTTTGGTAATCTAAGATATATGTGAATATATACTATTTTACTTCTTCCTGCAGACTAAAATGTTTATGTCCCAGCAAAATTGATATGTTTGTATCAGAACCCCCAATATGAACCAGGGAGTGGGCCCTTATCAGATTCAGATGCTGAATTTGTTGGTATTTTGATCTAGTACTTCTCAGCTTCATAAATAAAATTCATGTATACATTTGTGTTGTTTATAAGGCACCCAGGGGATGGTAGTTTGTTATAGCAGCCTGAAAAGACTAAGGTACTCTTCCTTCCTTATTGTATTTCATTCCACCAATCATTTGAAAATCATTTATTGAACATCTGTTTTCTGGGTTTTGGGAATATAACAACAATGCAGATAATATAGCTGCTCTCCTAGGATTACAATTAAACAGAAAAGTACATATATAGTTTGAAAAAATAAATTAATCCTGAATGAAAACTGCATTTTGGTGCTGTACAGAACAAAAGCACAGTACTCTAATGGTATTAAGCTGACGATCCTCTTTTTCAATACAGTGTATAGTCTCAGAATATTTGCTGATTTGCACACTTGTGAGGCATTGGCAGATCTCTGGATTGTTCCTTCCTTACTCAAGACGCAGGCAGCCTGCAGGCCCTCGGTTTTCCTGAGGAATTCCTTTTATTGTTGAATTAATAGCATTGAGTCTAGTAGATGCAGAGTGACATATGTTAACATATTCAAATAGACAGGTCCTTAACATACCTAACTTCCCATATATTAATAAAGAATTATTAGTGTGATAAGTTACAGTAATTAGAAATAAATGTTTCTTGGAATTATGCTGCTGTAAAATTGGGGAAAAAAAAACATCTAGCCACCAGCAGAACAGACTTCCTTTCTCGTCATTTAATATAGACATCTGATAGCCATAGAAAGGGACAATCTAGACACAATTTTGCAATGCAGTTTGCCTTGAAAAGAGTCGGGTTGCACACAGGTGAGAAGCAGAAGTTCTAGTTTATACAGCTTGGGTATGGCTATGTCTGGGATACTATGTAAAATTCCTGGAAGTCACTTGGCCCTAAAACATAAGGGCAAAGATAAACAAAAAGAAATTTAGAGAAGATAGAGAAGTAGATTAAAATATTAAATATGTATAAGTTGGCAAAGGAAAGAAAGAGAGGTCACGTTACTGGTCCTCAGTTGTTTTCAGTGTATAAATCAACAGAGAGGCGAACAGAAGAATGGTTCAGAGACCTCTGAATTGAAGAAAAAGGTTTTGTTTTCCTTCACTCAAAATGGCTAAAGATCAAAAATTCTTCCTAACATATAAGAAGTCATTAAGTGTTCCATGATGGTTTTTTTTTCTCTGCTGAAAGTTTTTCATATCATTAAATAAAAGTTTTCAAATTACTAATGAGAAAGTTGAATTCTAGATGGATTAAGTGTCTTACTATAATAGTAAAAAACAAAAGTGGCTAGAACCGAAATCCCATCTACTGGTTGGCTGATCTGTTTTGTACCTGCATAACTGGGTATCCCTTAACTACTTACAACAGGGTCAAACTCTCTGAAGTCAATGTGGTTTCAAATATATACTCTAATTGTATTTAATAATATTATTTTATCTTTAATATTTTTATTGTTTTTCACAATGCAGAATACAGAAAACCCAGATTAATATTTTTGTGGTTTTAAGATAACACAGATAGTAGTGATTCTTAATGAGGTATATGGTGTCTGCTCTTGAGCTTATTAGATACAATATTCAGAAGGCTTTTATATTCATCAGGAATGTCAGTGGGTTTAAAAAGTTTGGGAATTCACTACTCTAAATAATGCAACTGAAGGATAAAGCCAGAATTTTGCTCAGAAATGATCAAAGTGAGGTTGGAATCTTCATAAAGTCATGGAATGAGAAACCAGAAAAGTGCTTAGTCCCAGTGTTGGGAGGTTCAGCTAGAAAGATCGGGGAAAGGAGCATGGTTCATAAAATACATTACTATACCTACTTTCCTTTCTACAGCTGAACTAATGCGGCAGAAATGAAGACTCAATTTATATCAGCCTACATTGCTGAGGAGTGTGGGAGAGAATATGACAGCCACACACTTCAAAGGTGGAAAATAGAGGGACAAGTGTTAGTTTACTTGCCAGGAGAGGTCTGAAGCCTACTTTGGAATGCAGGGTAAGTTGTGAAGCAAGCATATTAATCATCAATCCCCACCCAGAGGACTTGGGAAGTAGAAGGAGGTGGAATTCCTAAAATTGGGGTTGTAGCTTAGGCCATCCGCAAATAAGAGGGAAGGCTGAAAGTCTGTTTTTACAAATCAGAATCCCAATTTCTTTCTCCGTCCTGTGCATATAAGTAAGTGCCCATCCTGCAACCCAGAATAATTGGGAGATTTGCTCTCTAAAGTAACCAGAAAGATTCTGTACTCAACACATGATATGGTTTGGCTGTGTCCCCACCCAAATCTCATCTTGAGTTGTAGCTCCTACAATTCCCATGTGTTGTAGGAGGAACCTGGTGAGAGGTAATTGAATCATGGGGTTGGGTCTTTCCCATGCTGTTCTCCTGAGAGTGAATAAGTCTCATGAGATCTGATGGTTTTATAAGGGGGAGTTTCCCTGCACAAGGTCTCTTCTCTCATCTGCTGCCATGTGGTTCGTGCCTTTCACCTTCCACCATGATTGTGAGGCCTCCCCAGTCACATGGAACTGTGAGTCCATTAAACCTCTTTGGTAAATTTCCCAATCTCAAATATCTCTTTACTAACAGTGTGAAACCTGACCAATACACCACATTAGACACAGCTGAGAAAAAAATATTATGCAGCTAAAACAAGGGAACTAAGTGAACATACAACCCCAGGTTCATCTTAGTCTACTTGTCCCACAGAATGCTGGCATCTGGGTTTATAGTTCCCAGGTGAGAGAATAAAGGATATGATTCTTCTCTATAAACCAATGACTGATAAAATGCCTACAGAAAATTACAGTTGATTGTTCCTGGTCTGCATCTATCTCAATCTCCCAACTCTAAAACCTACTTTGTAAAAAGTTTTTGCCCATTCAAAGCAATCACAACAAAACAAAAATAAAAACAAAGCAAAATGTATCAGAGAAACATAAATAATAAAAACAGATTATTTAAAAAATACTTTCCTTAGGTAAAATAACATATTTTACTTATTAAATGAAGGGAAATTTGTAGAAAAATATTTATAGAATAAAGGGAACTCTTGTATATTAAAATAATTAATGATGAAAACATCAGCTCAAGTAGCCACTTTGCAAAAGAGTTTGGTGATATCTGTTAAATATGCAACTACAGCAAATCCACCCTTTGATGCATACTTAGAAGAAATGTGGGAAAATATATATTTGGCAATACCAGGCATTGGTATGGGTGTGAACAGTGGGAGCATTTTTATACTGCTGATTCATGTGTAAACTTGTACAACCATTTTGGAAAAATAATTTGGCAATATCTCTTAAATTTGGGCACTGACATACCCTGCAAATCAGCAGTTATTTCATTCTCAGCCAAATACTGTATATAAATTCTTACATTTTCTTAGGAGACACGTAGAAGAATTCTCATAGCAGCTTCGTGCATAGTAAAAAAAACAAAACTCCAGGCCCATCAACAGAAGCATTTGTAAATATTAGATTGGTGCAAAAGTAATTGTGCTTTTTGCCATTGGTTTCAATATATTGTGGTGTGTATTTACATGATGGAATTTCATACCTCAATGAATGTGAAAGTATCACAACTATCAAGTATCAATGTGATATTGAGATAAAAAGCAAATGTCAAAGACTGCTATATAATAAAATTCCATTTTATGAAGCTTAGAGGAAAATTGAAAAAAATATTGTTCCTGAGTTAAAATGTATGATATAAAAATTTTTAAAACCAAGACGATTATAACACAAATGTCAAAAGAATAATTCTCTTCTCTGGGCAGAATTGGAAAAGGACAGGAATGAACCCATTCGAATGATATATGTAAGATTGTATTATTATGTAAAACAGAGAGTTCATGGGAATTTAATTATTTTAGCCATAAAAATATATTTATATATTTTATTAAAAATAAGTAGAATATCACATAACTTAAAATAATTTAAATTATTATACTACATGTGGAAAAGAAAAAGATTAAAGGTCGAAAATATGTCATGTAAACTGACATAGACACATCTCCAAGTAGAATGAATGAAAAGAGAAAGGTATCAAATATTATGGCATATTTGTAATTTGAGAAAAATATGGGAATATAAAACATTAGAGATACGGACGCCCTTTGGAAAGGTACACAAAGAACGAGTATAAGTGGATGGCTGCTTTCTGAAAACTGATTATTTGGGAAAGAGTATGTTGGTGGGAAGATCATTTTTTAATTCTATTACCTACTAAAATAAGAAAAATCAGAGAAGAATAACCAAGAGATAGTCATCTGCAGAGATCCAGTGTCAAGAGAGGAAGAAGGAGAAGGAGAGAGATTAAGTACTATAACGTCCAAGGAAGGACGAAATTAAATGTAGAAAGACATTATACTCCAAGAAAAAAAAGGGAAAGATGGGCTAATTTTTTCTCTCGTATTAGTGGCTAAAACAACAATAACAATAAAACACTGAGAAAAAAAAAGAGAAAAACTGAGTCTTCTGTTATCTGAAGCAAAACGGTATCATTTTTCTGTTGATTTGTGGATCTAATAACATTCTTCCACTGCTTGTAATAATGAACTCTGTGTTATATTGAAAACTTTAGTTTTATCTTCAATAATCAAATGCTTAGCAATGGCCATTTTCATTTCAAGAAAGCAATAGCCAGAATTCAATTATATTTAGCTCCTTCGAAACCCTCATTTCCATAAACATGCTTTTTGTCTTCACTTTTATTGATTTAAGTACACATTTATTTATCTTTTTCTAGAATACCTTGTAAGCATATTGAGAGCTTTTCCTGCCAAGTGTAATTTGTCTATATTACTGAAAAGTGTTAAACTCTAGCTAATGTTCAGTAAGCAATAATGGTTATTTTGTATTTACTCATTATGTTATATGAAAATACATTCAGGCAAGATGAATTTTATTTGGTGGCATAATACTTACTCTTCCTCATTTCTGTGGATGCTTACATTTACTTGGGTGTCTGTGTGAATTTATCACAATCTTCATTAAGTCTTTGTTGTCAAACCCTCAGCAAGTATGTTACTAACTGAAAAGACTTGTTAGTCACATTGAGGGGGGCAGGTGTAAGCTTCAAGGAATAGCCCTTACAAACTTCTGAAATGACATTGACCATGGCAGATACACATTCTATAATTGGGACGCTTTCGGTACAAGGAGAGGCAGTGTGATGTAGCAGAATGGGGCGTGGATTCTAGAACCTGTGTATCTTGGTTCACATTCCATCCTTACGTTTGGCTATGTTGCCTTGGGTGACTTGTTCAACCTCGTTATGCCTCATTTTCCTCATCTGTACAATGATCATAATAAGATTGTTGAAAAGATGGTGTCATTTTATATATAAAGCACTTAGAACAGGAACTGTAATACAGCAAGAAACCATACATCATGATCATGATCATGATCATCATCATCATCATCATCAGTTGCAGAACTTAAAATTTACCATTATCATCATTCCTAAGCAACTATAAGTAAAGCAGCAGAAGTCCTCAGTCTGAAGTTTAAACAAATAGTTTGTCTTGGTCATCTTGGTTATGACACTATAAGAAAAAATTAGACTGAGAATTGTTTAAAAACAATTTCCATTTTACTGTGCTTATGTTATAAGAAAGTATTGCTCATCAATTAATATGCTTTCACTTTATTGATTTTTTTTTTTTTTTTTTTTTTTTTACTATCCACATGTTCTAGTCATGCAGTCACAAGTCAGACCACCTCACACAGTGGTTGGCAGGTGCTGTACCCAATTGAATGCCATAACGCCTCAAGGTTTCAGGGAGACATTCTGTTGGTGACTTTGCTCAGGATGCATTTTTCACTATGTAGAGTTAACCTGCACAGTGATATTTACCTATTCACTGAGTTGTTATTTGATCTCTAGAGGCATTACGATACGGAAATGCTACAAGATATGATGTGAACCATTCTTGTATGCCAGAATGAAGAGAGATGGAAAACATGTTGGTAAATAAGACACCTCTGGTAGTTATATTAAAAAATAGGAGGTGGTATATGATTACATTGTAATGATTGGAAAGTGACAAACATGAGTAAAAGTGCTTTGGGAAGGTTTATGAGGGAATTGGGGATATGGACTGATTTCTGGAGAAAGAAGAAACTGTGGAGACGAGCTGTAGGGTGGACAGTGGGTTTGAGGGAATGAGGCAAGGCATTTTATGTGACTAATGAGTAAATTAGCCTTGGTAGGATTTGCAGTGAGAATCCTAGAAGAATGTTATCAGACTCAAAATAATAGGAGGGATTAAAATGGTTCTGTGATAGAAGTAAATCTGCCAAAATTCCTCCAGTCTTGGTCTCTTCAGTAAAATATCCCTGCATGCTCTTCCCCCTTCTCTCCTGAACCAGAATGAATTTTCTGAAATGTGAATGGAATTATAGTTGAACTACACTTCTCACCATTCTGGACCCTATTCCCACACTTCACCGCTAATCCTAGAGGATGAAGATCAGGGACGTTATTGACTTTGTTGATTTTGTATCCTCTGGGCACATAAGTGTGCCTGGTGCATAGCAGATCCCTGAAGATATTCTTAATGAAGTTGATGAGTAGAGACCAAAGTTTAAGAGAAAGAATTGGACATGGATGTAGCATGCAGCTAATGGGAGATATTTCATACTATAATCAGGATTGTGATGAGGTCAGATGTTCTTTTAACCTAATAAGTTTATGGTTATACAAACAAAAAATAAAAATAAACTACACCCACATAACAGTATGTCATTGACTTGAAGGGGCCATCAATTTATTTCCCTACTGGGAAGGATGCCTAATGTTTGTAGAGAAGGTTGAGAAAAATTGTACTGACACCCAACTGACACCCATAACAGTGGAATCTTCAGAGTTTTACATCCCATCCCAGTTTCCTCATTTGAGATACAAAATGCACTCCTCCCCTCTAAACTGCTACAAATGATTCTGACAGATAATAGTTGCTTGAGTTTGAGATCAGGATGTCAAAAGACAGGATAAAATAGAGCTTTCTGATTTCTGAGGTTAAGATGGCTAGAGAGGAGTAATGGTGATTCCCGCTTGCAGAGCTATTTCCGCTCATCAGGGGTTATTAGAGATACGTTCTCTTGGACTGATGAAAAGGCAGACGATGTATTTAATGGACAAAGTCCATTTTCTTAAACTTATATATTCTCTTTTAAAAAATCGGGCCTGAACACAACAATTAAATTACATACAACAACAGCAACAACATAAAAACACTTAGTCTTATTCCGTTTTAGCTTTTTATACTTCCAGTTTCTCCTGTTGTAAAATATCTGCCAGTACTGTTTATCTGACAATTTTTTTCCCCAGATATATTAATCATTGCTCACTTTTTCTTAAAAGAATGCTTCCAAATAATTAGGTATACAGCTTTTGCTTGGGCACATATCTATTGAGATTAACAATTCAGATTCAGAGCTTGTCTATAAAATTGTGATCAGAAAACATTAGAGAGATATTCAGAGCTCTGCTTCTTAGTAGTGAACTATTGAAATGTGTTTCAGAAAACTGTTCGGAGGCTGGCCACTGTGGCTCACGCCTGTAATCCTAGCACTTTGGGAGGCCGAGGCGGGCAGATCACGAGGCCAGGAGATCGAGACCATCCTGGCTAACACGGTGAAACCCCATCTCTACTAAAAATACAAAAATTTAGCCGGGTATGGTGGCAGGCACCAGTAGTCCCCGCTACTGGGGAGGCTGAGGCAGGAGAATGGCCTGAACCCAGGAGGCAGAGCTTGCAGTGAGCTGAGATCGTACTACTGCACTTCAGCCTGGGTGACAGAGCAAGACTCCGTCTGAAAAAAAAAAAAAAAAAGAAAAAAGAAAAGAAAAGGAAACTGTTCCTGAAATAGATTGTGAAGAAAAATGTCATATGTGTGGTATATAAACACATCCTGTATTGCAGAGAGTCTCTAGCCTTCCTGAGAAGTTCTGACCAGGTTTAGCAAGGTTAGAGTAGGGAAGTTAAACCACTACCTTGAAGACATAAGGAGAAAACAGAGCTGGGTTATCAGGAATGGGCATAAACACAAGAGATGAAGGGTTTAATTGAAAACAGAGCAGTAAATAGTAAGACAACTTAAAATTCTGGGAGATTTGCCAAAGTAGGTTAAGAAAAAAGAATAGGTTAACCTTTGTCCATTTTAATGTCTCTGTCCAAATTCCCTGCCTCTTCCAACAGATTAGAGTGCCAAGTAAAAATTAATGTATTGGGGTAGCTTGATTTACAGCTCATATATTAATTTCCTTTCCTATGGTATCCTTTCCCCTGAGGGAATTTTACTTTACCACCACAATGATGCTTTGTTTTTGCTAGCAGTTTCTTACTGACTCTCTTTTGTTTTTTTAATGAGCTCTACATTGTCCCAGATGGGGGCTGCTCCTTCAGCCTGCACCCCAGAATGACAGTGACAGTGGCTCCAACACAACTAGCAGCAAGCAGGTAGCATATGTAGCAATCACATGTATATTATTGTAAGTCGCTGAAATATTGGTGACCATTATTTCTACTTCATCATTAATGGCTGAACTAATTGTTTATGAGTAATAATGATGATAAAGAAGACATAAAATTGTACTCAGTTAAATATGGGAATAGACCTTTAATCTAAAATACAATTCAGGAACCTCATAATTATCTTTTTTAAAATTACTTGATGCTTATCTTTAGCTACATAGCTAAGAAATGGAATATATACATTTGCATATGAACAAGAAGATATTACACACTTCAGACTGAGTTCTCTGAGTAGATCCACAATTCTTACCTAATTTTTGATTTCTAACCAAATCATAATACATGTAATTTGAGATTTTAATGTTTTATGCTAAAGTGTTTACTTTTTTTGCTTGACCTGGTGGTTCATGCCTATCATCCCAGCATTTGGGGAGGTCGAGGTGGAAGGATTGCTTGAATTCAGGAATTCCAGAACAACCTGGGCAACAAAACTAGGCCCCTCTGCCATATGTATATATAATATATATATAAAAAATATATACATATATATTATAAAATATATATTATATATTATATAATGTATATTATATATATAATTTATATAATGTGTATAATATATATCTATATATAAAGATATATATCTTTATGTATTTTTAAGCTGAGGAAAAAATAAAGTTTTTACATATTTGATTTTTATGAAATCTTATAAAATTTCAGATAAACCTTTAATATTATAAGAGGCATTTTATTATATGTGCTTTAAATCTAATATACTTTGAATTTTAAAAATTGCCTTCTTCAGATTATTTTATGTATAAATTCCCAGAGAAAGTGTGTGTGTGTGAATAATACTTTGTTGACATACATAGCTCTTAGCATACTATCCATCCCGAATAAACAGTAAAGAATGATTAGCAATGCCATGCAAAATTGATTAACGTAAATCGTGCTTCATTCCATCCTATGATAGTGTTGTTTCGAAGGGTATTTTATGTTTACATGTTACTTTAACGCTTATTTATTAGAAAATTAGTACTATGTATCTTAATAATGCTATGTACTTGGGTAGTATGCAGAGGAGAGAACAGGCTGCTAATAATGATAGACCTGCCTTTCTTACCTTTTGGGAATCTAAAATATAACTTATATTATGGCCAAATATACTTCTTCCATGGTTGTATAAGCATGGATTTTTCTTAAGAATCCACAAAATATGGAGATGGAGAAAGTGGTTACTGACAGGGCTCCAAAGGACTCAGAAGCCATCATCTGTATGATAGAAACATATGTGAATCTGATCCAGCTTTAGAAAAAGCTTTGCAAAAAACTGTTATTACCAAAGGAAGGCCTGTACTATCACTAGTGACTTCATTATATGAGATCTTTCTGTCTAGAAAGATAGTGCTATACATATCACAAGTAAATTTCACCAGAGATGTTGGTATTATTGTTCTCTAGGTAGTAATAGAATATTTATCTCTCATTTAATATGAAACTAGCCACATATCTGTGAATAAAAATGCAGAAGTCTTTTTACGACCTTTTTTTTTTAACTGACATACTATAAGTGCATCCATTCCAGATTCACTTTAAAGTGTGTTATGTGTTTTAGGAAGACATCTCATATTAACAACTGTAATCTCAATATTGGAAGGACCATCCATAGTATCATTTCCCTTGTCCTAGATAGCGAAATTAATGCAATATTTAAAAGCAACATTTATTTACTCAACTGGCCTTGTCTGCTCAGTTTTAAAATCATAAGTGGCTCTTGAGCTTTTCTACCCACTGATTTTCAGTTCACCTGTCATTTTAACTGATAATCAAATCCTACATCTTTCCTTTGATGGTATTTATGTAATGGAAATCAACATAAAATAAGTTAAAAACAGCTTAGGAAAAGTAATGGGGCTCAGTGATAACTTATGAGGCAAATCCAACCCTCACTTAGAGGGTAAGGATATCTGGAGGAGATGTTTTCTTGCAATTAAAACACTATCCTCTATTTTCAACTTTGAGGAGAAAGTGGAGGAAAATAATCTTAAGCGGGCTCTCCATCATGCAGCCACTGAGGCAGGGAAGTGCCCTCATTCTTCACACTAAGATGCACTCTCATGAAAGGCTCTGAGTTATAAGTTTCCTGAAGTGTCTGTCTTATATACACCAAACCATTTCCTTGAAAACCTTTACCTCTGCTACTTAACTGAACCCAAGTCTGTCTCTCAGGACTCATCCCCAATTTGGTCAGTTCCCCATCAGTTCTATCATATAGGGTCCTCTTCTTTTATCACCACCATTGCACAGGTGTTTGAAAAGACAGCCAGTATTCTTCTTGCTCCCACTACACTTCCTTTTACACAACATTACCTGATCATCAACTCTACCCTACTTGTAGCCTGGAATTTCACACCCTTTTATTATCCTTTTTGCTATCTTTCAATCGCTAAGATACTCCTTTTCACAACAATGACAAATGCCCAGAATAGGTGCCACTACTTTCTCTTCCCTTTAGTCTCACCGATCACTTTCTTGTTGAGCCTGGCCCCAGCCTTAACATCATTCACCATACTGTGAGCGTTCCCAGCAACCACTATTAATTTTTATGAGTTCACTCCTAAAAATTTTTGGACCTGCTTAATACCGTCGTGATTAATGTCAGCACAAAATCCACAGTCTTCTCACCCTCATCTCTTGTCATCATCTTTGGGAAATTAAATATTTATGTGATGACCTTCTGTCATTCCTGCATACAATCTTTTGAGTTTTAAAAAATCTACTTAGCTTCATGGATTTTCATTTAATTCTATTTTTTTTGTCATCACTGAAATAACTATGGTTTGTATCTGATTATCAATAGGAATTGCTGTCTTTAAGAACCAAATCTCTGAAATATCTCTCTGCCTATGGCTTCTATCCTTTTGCTTTTCTAAATTGTTTTCCCATGGAAATTGCGCCCTTTGTTTTCAATATGCCTTCCCATGCCTGCCTTTCCACATTTCTCACAATCTGTAAGTGTCAGAGGTGTTTGAACCAGAGCAACTCCATCTTGAATAGGGGCTGGGTAAAATAAGGATGAGACCTACTGGGCTGCATTCCCAGGAGGTTAAGGCATTCTTAGTTACTGAATGAGATAGGAGGTCATTACAAGATACAGGTCCCAAAGACCTTGCTGATAAAACAGTTGGCTGTAAAGAAGCCAGCCAAATCCCACCGAAACCAAGATAATGATGAAAGTGACCGCTGGTTATCCTCACTGATCCTTAGTGCTAATTATAATGCGTTAGCATGCTAAAAGACACTCCCACCAGCACCATGACAGTTTATAGATGCCACGGGCAATGTCAGGAAGTTACCAGATATGTTGTAAAGAGAGGAGGAGCCTTCAGTTCTGGGAATTGCCTACCCCTTTCCCAGAAAAGTCATGAGTAATCCATCCCTTGTTTAGCATTTAATCAAGAAATAGCTCTATTCTTAGTTGAGCTGTTGCTCTGCCTATGGAGTAGCTATTCTTTATTCCTTTACTTTCTTAATAAACTTGCTTTCACTTTACTCTATGGATTCTCCTAGAATTTTTTCTTGCTTGAGATCCAAGAACCTTCTCTTGGGGTCTGTATCGGGACCCCTTTCTGGAAGTTAACATAAGCGTCTCCTTTACCTCCCTTGCAATTCTTCTGATTCTGTTTGAATCCTCATGGAAAGCTCAATCCCCTCTTACTGACATTTGGGCATGTTCACCCATCCCTTCCCAATCATGAGTTAACATTTATGTATAGCACTTCGAATCCCAGGCTGCTCAACCTTCAAAGAGAATATCATACAACCTCAGTAATTGCATATCATACAACCTCAGTACAAATTTCAGCTATTCAGCATCTGCTATTTATAAAAGTAGTCTATAATTCTTTCATATCTTTTATAGGCAGTTTTTCATCCTATGTTTCCCTCATAATCACCTTTTCTAAAATGCTGTCTTTCCATATACCAGTATCTTTCTTGACCAGTATCTTGTCAGGGCTTCAATCACTGAGCAGGTAATGTTTCAGAGTGGCCTGAGCATTGGGAAGCAGCCAAGCAGGCAAACATTGGGGGGAAGAGCATTCCAGGCAAAGATAAAAGCAAGATTCATTTATTTATTTATGTATTGAGACAAAGTCTTGCTCTGTCACCCAGGGTGAAGTGCAGTGGCGTGATCTTGGCTCACTGCAACCTCTGCCTCCAGGGTTCAAGCAATTCTTGCACTTCAGCCTCTCAAGAAGCTGGGATTACAGGCCTACACCACCACACCCAGCTAATGTTCCTGTTTTTAGTAGAGGCAGGGTTTTGCCATGTTGCCCAGGCTGGTCTCAAACTCCTGGCCTCAAGCAATCTGCCCACCTCGGCCTCCTGAAGTGCTGAGACTACAGGCATGAGCCACCGTGCCTGAGCTGGAAAGAGTAGGGTTTAAAGGCTGAGATTCGAAAAATCATTTTGTATATTAAACAAACAAACAGATATATGGCTGGAGTATAGCAAGAGGGTTTATACATGGGAGGTGAGATCTGAGAGGCAGACAAGGGTCTTGTAGAGCCCTCTGGTCCATGGTAAGGAGTTTGCATTTTATTTTAGTGAAATTCAGTGTTTCTCAAATTTGGCATTATTGAAATTTAGGGCCAGATAATTGTTGTGGGGCTGTCCTGTGTGTTGTGGGATGTTCAGCAGCCTACTTAGTCTCTTCCCTCTAGATGTCAATAGCAACTGTCCCTTACCCCATTGTGACCAAAAAAAAAAAAAAAAAATCTTCAAACATTGCCAGGTTTCCCCTCAGAGGCAAAATCACTCCACAGGGAAGTCATCGGAGTGTTTCAAGCAGGGGAGAGACTTGATCTGTTGTGTTGTTTACAAATTGTCAGTCTGGCTTCTTTCTGGAGAATGAAGTATTAGAAGGTAAAATTAGAAGAGGAGATGGTTCAGAGGCTATATATTTTCTTTAGTGGTGAGAAGATAGTGGGTTGGACTTCAGGGCTTGTTTAACTTACATGATGTTTGAAAGTATTATAGAGTTTGGTCATACAATTTATGAAAGCGTATATAAGGCATCTAATTATTAATCATGGATGTCAGTAAGAAGTTGCATAGAAACAACTGGAGCTCCAAGTTCAAGATTAAATTTATTAAGACAAAAAAGTTGGTGTCATCAGCATTTGTAATGTAATTGTTGAATTTGCAGAGTACCAGTGAAAAACAACCACTTCTTTCTCTCTCAGGTTGCAAATGAGTAAAATACAAACAGAGGACCTCTTCTGCACACATAGACAAAACTTAACTCACAATGGATGAAAAACCTAAATGTAACAGATTAAACTGTAAAACTCAGTTAAAATATGTGTATGTCCTTATAACCATGGATTAAGCAATGGTTTCTGAGATACGACGTTACAAGTACAAGCAATCAAAAGCAACAAAAAATAGATAAATTACTCTTTATAAAAATACATACTTTTGTGCTTCAAATGACACTATTAAAAAAGTGAAAATACAACATAGAGAATGGGAGAAAATAACGGCAAGCTGTGTATCTGATAAATGTGCAGTATCCAAAATATATAAAATTATTACAGTTCAACAATAAAAAGACAAATAACCCAATTAAGAAAATAGAAAAAGGATTTTAATAGATATGTTTCTGAAAAAGACATACAAATGGCCAAAAAGCACATGAAAAAAAAGTTCAGCATCATTACTCATTGGAGAAATCCTACTCCAAATCAAGATAAAGATACTATTTCATATCTACTAGGTTGGCTAAGATAAAAAAGGGAATAACAAATATTGATGAGGATGTGGAAAAATTAGAACCTTTAAGCATTTCCTCAAAAATATATAATGGCACACGGTCAATATAAAGAATAGTTTTGTGGTTTCTGAAAATGTTGAATATAGAGTTTTAGTGACTTACCAATTTTACTCCTAGATATAGACAGACCCCAGATGATTAAAAATACATTTCTGTGCAAAAAGTTATGCACAAATATAGCAGCATTATTTGTAATAGAAAAACGTGGAAACAAACTAAATATCCATCAACTTTTGAATGGAAAACAAAATGAGTATAAACATGCAATGAAATATTATTCAGCCATAAAAAGTACTGATTCAAGATATACTGATTCATGCTATGATATGGATGAACCTTGAAAACATTATGCTGGGTGAAAGAAGCCAGATCCAAATGGCTGCATATTATTCCATTTATGTAAAATATCCAAAATGAGCAAGTTTATAGCCAGACAGTAGATTAGTAGTTGCCAAGGGGAAGGGAAGAAAGCAGAATGGGAATAACTTCTAATGACTACGCATATGCATCTTGAGGGGAGGGGGGTAGTAAAAATGTTCTGGAATTTGATAATGGTAATACACAATAATTTTGTGAATATACCAGTTGTACACTTTAAAGTGATAAATACAATACTATATGAATTATTAATAAAAGTATGTGTATGTGTAAAACACTCGGGTTTGGTGAGACTCTGTTTGCCTAATCCTCCTTTCCTCTCTCCAAACAAGAAAAATAGAGGAGTGAGTGGAGTTTAAGATACTGGTTATAGATAAGGCTGAATTGAAGTGTGATGATTACACAACATGGATACAATGAAGTTGTGATCTAACCCCTAAAAGAAACAGGTATACCCGTCCAGTCAGACACAGTTTTACTGAAACATCACCTCTCTCAGTGGTGTGTGTAGGAAAACAGGTTGGAGGGCATGCACTCTGCAGGTAGGCAGGGCTAGAAGAGAAGCCCCAGAGAGGCTGAGCCAAGGATGCTAGATTTCTGCTCTGCAGGCAGAGTTGTTACCCTCCCTCAGTCCTCTCACATGAAAACATGAGCCCACGGAAATTGAATCTCTTGTGAACAGATTTGGGAGGGTGATAAGTTCAATTTTGTGCACATTGGGTTTTGTGAGCCTGAAACTTTTTAAGTGGAGGTGTTGATAGAAAGACGAGTCTATGGTTGTGAAGTTTATTACCCCAAGCAGCTCTGGAATCTTTTAAAATCTGCCTTAAAAATGACAGGGAAGGGTCAGAATGAGTATCACAGAGTTGCCTTTTCTAGCCCAACAAGCAGTCATAAAAGTGGTTTAATGGTGTGAAAGGAAAATAAATCTTGGGACCCCAAAACTACTGAGCCAAAAGGAAAAGTCAAGCTGGGAACTGCTTAGGGCAAACCTGCCTCCCATCCTATTCCTTAAAAAAATAGCTACTAAGATTAATAATAATAATAATAGTAAAATTTTGAAAAGCTACATACCTCACTCACAGGAATTTCCTATGGACAAAGTACAGACAGAACTCAAAGTCATCCCACTGTTCACTAATATAAAGGCATAGCTGCTTGCCTCCTCTGGAAAGGCTAATCAGAAACTCAAAAGAATGCCGCTGTTTGTCTCTTACCTACCTAGGAGGTGGAAACCCTTTTCCCTCTTTTGAGTTGTCCTGCCTTTCTGGACTGAACCAATGCACATCTTACATATATTTGTTAATGTCTCATGTCTCCCTAAAATGTTTAAGAGCAAGCTGTGCCCTGACCACTCTGGGCACATGTCATCAGGGCTTTCTGAGATTGTCTCATGGGCGTGCATCTTTACCTTGGGCAACATAAACTTCCTAAACTGATGGAGGCTTGTCTCAGACATTTGGGGTTCGCAATAGAAACTTCAACCCTCTGCTTTAAAGAGATGGGTAAGTTGTGTTCAAAAGTGAAAATTCATATAAATGGATAGTTGCTATAAATTTTAAGTTCTTATTCCATGAAGTTTATTGCCTTCTTAGCATTTACAGTTTTCACCATGGAGAACTTTATTTTTTTCTTTTGTTTTCTTGTTGTTTTTTGGCAATGAGAAGAATCATACTCTATAAACCTATTGTTTGGGGAATGGGAACAAAAAACAAAATTAATTATGCCTGAGAATTTTTTGGCTGAAAATGTCTATTCCTATATTTGTAGATCCTATAGACGGCATTTTATTACTCTAAAAAGGAGAAATACATACAAATTGTTTCTGCCTTTTCTACTGTTTATACTGCATAGACTGTTTTTATTATGATAAGCTAAATAATCCAAAAGCTTCCATACACTGGGAAACTTAATGGTTTGTGAAAGAAAGGTATCCTGGGAGCTGAAGTAAAAACATGGATATAAAAGCAGATAGACACTAGGCTCTCACGTTTGTAAGAGAATTATCCAATTCATTGAATACTGATTGCCATTTTATTATCTGAATCAATACCAGTGCAGTTAATGTGGCATTTAGAAATCATAAAGATGAAGATAGGATAATTGTTCCCCTAAACAGAAGCCTTACATAAATATTTTAAACCTCATATAATGAAATCACATTGGAATATAGAGGAACATGGGCCCACATAAACACTACCAGCGTTAAGCAACTCTTGAGGTTTCCTTCGCTCTTCGATAGACTTCATTTACAATTTAATCAAAATGCTAGCTACTGCCAAGACTAAAGGGATGAAGAGTTAACAAACTATTTTTCCTTCTGGAAAATATTATTTATAATTAAATAAAAACATTAAACATATATTACCGTTTTATATTTTTATTAGGAAATCAAGAATTTTAAAACTATTAGTTTCACACAACAGATTGAAAGAATTTTAGAGGTGAACATAACTAAATAGATGTTCTGTGTATTTATCTCATTTTATGGGTGAAAAGTGCTAATGCCTATAAATGTTGAATAATTAGATGAAAGTTATAGTTCAATTAGAGTTGGAGCCAGGACAGTGATCTAGATCTCCTAATCCTAATTTCAGAATGTCTTTTCTATAACCATGTTGCTTACAACATTTTCTGGCGGATGTTTGAACCAGTCAACAAGTTAAAGTCATCAATGAGCTGTTTGCCTCTTTTAGGTGAGGATGGTGAATATCTGTTTACATCATTCGTTATTGAACTTCCTAAATGCTTCTTTTTAACATTGGAGTTTAAGTACATATTTTGTATGATACATTTCCATATACTGACTACACTTGAGTGAGTGATCTATAACTTGCTCGAGTTTTTCCGTTTCAGAACTTCAGAATCTCTCTTAAACTACCTCTACCACAGGTCAACACTTGCCTCTTTAGAGTGTAGATTGGCCCGACTTATGTTTGGGAAATTTACCCTTTAGTTGTATGTAGTTGTAAAACACTTACTCTTTTTGTTCTATAAAGTTTTATTGTGTCATTATATCATAGTTATCTTTGCTGCTGATGGAGGCATTTGGTTGTTTTCTAGTTTTTGTTTGTTTGTTTTTTATCCAAGGTGGTGTTATAAACCTTCTAGTAAAGTAAATGAGTGTTGGTGAACACAATATACATTTTTTTTGTTGAGAATATCCTCTGGATATACAGTTGATTGGTTGTAGGAGATGCATATGTTCAACTTCTGGTTGGGTTTTCAAAGTGGTTGTATCAATTGACATTACCACCAGTAGTGTATGAGAAATCTGGTTGTTCTACCTCCTTATCAAAAATGGATATCGTGTTCTTTTTCAGTTTAACTATTTTCTTGGGAACAGTGTTATCGCATGCTGCATACAACCCCATATGTGAGTGTTTGTATTCTCTTTTCTCCATTGCATCCTTTTTTAAAAATTAATTGATAACATATGTAATAAAATGCATGTGTTTTTAAGTATGCAGTTTAGAGTTTCAACAAATATAATCACACATGAAACTGTTATCTCAATAACATATGGAAGATTTCCATCATTCAAGACAGTTTCTGTGTTATCTTTTCCAATGCAATCTTCTCTACCACAGAAGGAACCTCTGTTCTCATGTCTATTCCCACAAGTTCATTTTGTTTGTTTTTCAACCACGAATGAAAAGAATCTCTTTTGAATTTGGCTTCTTTTGACAGGCCTTGTCAATTTATGCATGTTGTTTAATATGTCAGTAATTTCTTTTTATTGTTGAGTAGTGTCCCATTGTGTAACTACTGCACAATTTGTGTTTATACACCTATTCAGCATTTCAGGGACACTGGAGTAAGATACTCTGTTTATTTTACTATACTCTCACAACACTCAGTATAGAATATTTCTGTGACCCAAGATGCGTGTGTGTGGGAGTGGTTCCTTATACACCAAGCAAACAATTTTTTTCATGGTCACCAGCTGGGTGTCCTCTAATTTAATATAATTTCAGTACTATCTACCTGGAAATAGCATCAGATGCCACAGGTTGAGGATTCAATTTCACAAGACTGTCCCACAGTTTCCATACCAGACACAAGTCTGGGTCTCCAGAGCTGATCATCTGGCTATAAATTGGGATTCCCATGACCACTTTCTGGGTTCAATTGATTTGTTAAAGCAGCTCACAGAACTCAGAAAAAAAACACTTTATTTGCATTTACCCAATTAAAGGATATTTTAAAGGACACGAATAAACGGCCAGATAAAGGGATGCACAGGGCAAGGTTTCAAAGAGTCTCAAGTGCAGGGGCTTCTGTCCCCTGAGATTTGGAGTCTATCACCCTCTAACCACATGGATATATTCTTATTCACCAACCTGGAAGCTCCCTCACCTCATTCCTTTTGGGCTTTTACGGAGCTCTCATCATTTAGGTATGGTTGATTAAATCATAGGCCATTGGCGTTCAACTCGATCTACAGCTCCTCTCCCCTCTCTGTAGGTGGGGGTAGGGCTGTGAGTCCCAATCCTCTAATCACAGGGTTGTATCCCCTGGCAACCAGCATCCTAGTCTTGTAGTTATTTAGAGATTTTCTAAAAATCACCTCATTAATACTCTGGCTTCTCTCTAGATTGTATAAATATTTTGCTTTTTACAGAAATCACCTCATGAACATAAACACTGGTATGATTGAAAGGGGTTTGTTATAAATAACAAAAATGTCGTTTTTCACCTTTATGGATCTGAAGCTGTTCTGCAGCTCTTTCAGAAATACAAAGCCAAATATTTTCAAAAAGTTGCTTTTATTATTCGAGTCACTTAGGAAATTACAAGGGTTATTGGGGCTGTGAGTCAGGAACCCTGAACAAAAACCAAAATATATATTTCATCACAATTGAGTTTTTTTCTAGTCTGGGGTTATGACAAATAGAGCTATAATGAACATTGTAGGCAAGAACATTAAATATATATAATATGTGTATATATGTAATTTATAATCTCTAATATTCTTTACTCTGTGGCTTACCTTTTCATTTCCGTGTTTTGCCTTTTTATTTATTTCAGGTGCAATTAGATGAGCAGATAATTTAAATTTTGATGAAATCTAATTTGCCAACTTTTCTTTATGGCTAGTGCCTTTTGTGTTTTGTCTAAAAGATATTTGCCTATCACTAAAATGACAAAGATTTTCTTTTATGTTCCCTTTAAAGTTTAGCCTTTATGTTATTAATATGTCATCTACCTTGAATTAATTTGTGTATATGGCATGAAGAAGGGGTCATGGTTCATTTCTTTTTTACATGAATATACGTTTTTTCTGTAGGTTTGTTTTTTGTACACAGTAAGCTTTTTTCATTGAATTTACATGGCACCTTTGACAAAAATATGTTCAGCATTATGTGTATGTTTGTTTTGACAACCTTGGGAGGGTAATAGTCATCTTCCAAATTTATCCTTTTTCAAGATTGTTTTGTCACTGAATCTGAATCTTTTGATTTACATATATAGTTTAGAATAAGCTTGTAAATTTCTATTTATGAAAAATCCTGGTGAACTTTTGATTGGAATTGCAATACATTGTAGATCAATTTGGCAATAATTGAGATCTTAAGAATATTTTATCTTCTGGTAAAGGAACGTGGCATTGATCTCCATTTATTAGATCTTTTCTTAATTTCATTCTTGGAAGTGTTCGTAGTTTTAAATTTTTTAATATAAAGACTTGTATAATTCCTATTAACTTTTTTCCTATGTACTTTATGAATTTAAAAAAAAAAAACTATTGCAAATGTAATTTAAAAATTTTATTTTCCAGTTGTTTACTGGCAATATTTAGGCATACAATTAGTTTTTCTACACTTATTTTGCATCCTACAACCTTGTAAAATTTTCTTGTTTCTTCTGGATGTTTTCTGATGATTTCATAGAATTTTCAAAGTACATAACAGTGTCATCTGGACATAAAGACAGTTTTACTACTTTTCCATCTCGTTGGCTTTTACCTATTCCTCTTACCTGATTTTACTGGCTAGGACTTCCAGAAAAACGTTGACTAGAAGTGATGAAACCAGATGTCCTTGATATTTTTTGATTTAGCATGAAGACAATGTTCCATCATTAAAAATTATATTAGCTGTAGATTTCAGGTAAAGACTTTTTATCAGGTTGAGATTTTCCTTTCTATTACTAATTTGCTGAGAGGGTTTTTTTTTTTTTTTTTTTTTTTTTTTGCACAGATGAGTTTGGATTTTTATGAAGTGTTTCTTTCAGTGTCAACTGGGTTGATTTTGTAATTTTCCCCTTTATTATTTTAATATAGTGAATAACATTTATTTTTTGGAATGTTGAATTAACCTTACCTTCCTAAGAAAAACTTCACTTGGCCATAATAATACATGATTTCATTTATATAATTCCTGGATTTAATTTGCTAATATTTTGTTAGAATTTTTGCATCTATGTTTCTCAGTTTCATTAAATTGGCATTTTCCTGATAACTAACGTAGTTGAGCATGTTTTACTATCTTCCTGTGGACATTTGGATATTTTCTGTTGACAAGTGTTTACATTTTTTATTAATCATTTTAAATTGTTTTATTATTTTTTAATTCTTTAGGTATTTGGTAATGAAGTCATGTGTTAGGTGTGATTACCCCATTTTGAGGTTGCCTTTTCTGATTCCTGATAGCATTTTTTAAAAAAAATAAAAGTTGTTGGTTTTAGTATAGTCCACTTTATTATTTCTTTCCTTCATCAGTAGTAGTTTTGTCTTATGTAAGAAAGCCTTGCTTACATTATTTTTATAAAGATATTTTCCTATGATTCCCACTAAAAGTTATATTAACTTTTTATGTGGAAAATTCCATTACTTCTGAAAAGTGTTTTGCTTTCCCAGTGGACGATACTGTCTCCTTTATCGTAAAATCATGAAACAAATGTCCATAGACGTTCCATAGCGCTTGTTGTCTTCCCATTTATAACACTTAATTTACTTATTTGTAATCGTATAGTATTTTCATTTCCCTTTAGACACCAAGATGTTTCTTGCACAACTTAAATCTCTTTAGTTCACTCTTGGATTATAAACACATAGACTCTGCATATAGTATACACTAAATAAATGTCTGTTAAAAGAATATGTTGACTTATGTATGGATATATATTTATACTCAACTAATAGTTTTATATAATCTGTATATTTTACTTTATACTATAATTTATTTTTCTAGTAAACTAAATATTGATTTTATGATTTCTAAGCAAATATAATTTCATTAGGAATTTTTTAGGAAATGTTACTAATTTTGCACATAGAAAAATTGATATCAACTAGCTGGGCTATTTTGAGAAAATATATTTTATTTGATCCTGAAAATAACCTACAACCAGTTTCATACATTATTATTATTATTATTTTGAGACATAGTTTTGCCGTTGTCACACAGGCTGGAGGGCAGTGGAGTTTTGCTCTTGTTGCCCAGGCTGGAGGGCAGTGACGCGATCTTGGCTCACCGCAACCTCAGCCTCCAGGGTTCAAGCGATTTTCCTATCTCAGCCTCCTGAATAGCTGGGATTACAGGCACCTGCCACCACGCCCGGCTAATTTCTTTGTATTTTTAGTAGAGAAGGGGTTTCGACATGTGGGCAGGCTGATCTTGAACTCCTGACTTCAGGTGATCCTCCCACCCCAGCCTCCCAAAGTACTGGGATTACAGGCATGTGCCAATGTGCCCAGCCCAGTTTCATACGTTATTGTAAAAGACAATTAACAGAGATTTTTTTTTTGTCTCAGGTTGTTAAACTTTCATATTTTTTCTATTTTAAAATTTTAAAAACATTTTCCACCACATATTAACTATTATATTTTGGATGAAAAACAGAAACATTTAATATGATAAAATAATATTTACAACAAAATATATCAGACGCTAAAGCCTCTGCCCTTCCTTTTCTTAAAGATCTACAAATAATAAAGGCAGAAAAGAAGAGAGGGTAAGAAAAGAAGGAAGGTATGGGAACTAGGGTAAAAAGATCGTGACTAGGGAAATTTATATTGAGCAGTTTTTCATATTTAAATTTCTGTATTTAAATATCTATTTTTATATTTAAGTTTCATTTAAATATTTAATTTTTTATATTTATATTTATATTTAAATATTTAATTTTATATTTAAATTTTACATTTAAAAATATTAAATACTGTTTATATTTAAATATTTACATTTATGTTGGGCTGAGATTACTACATTAAATTTTTGCAGTGTACTGATTTAATTTTTCTTCTCCTTTTGTAATTCTAGTTTAGGAAATAACAGATGTGTTTAAAATATATCTCAGCAAAAGGAAAAATATATTTTATAATAATTTTTAGTCACTTGATTATATCTTCTATTTGCATTTTCACCATTAAAAAATTTAAATGCTTAACATCACTCATAGTTCTTTTATTTCTATTATAATAATTTCTTGATGACAAAGACTGTAGATTTTAGGCCCCATCATGATTTACTTAGATTTTAGTAGCCAATTCTTTAGATATATACAACTATAGTTTTTCAAATATTTAAAATTTAGTATTCAATGCCAAAATATTTTCTCAATCATATAATTTTTATTTTATTTTATTTTATTATTTTTATTTTTTTTTTATTTTTTTTTGAGACGGAGTCTCGCTCTGTCTCCCAGGCTGGAGTGCAGTGGCGTGATCTCGGCTCACTGCAAGCTCCGCCTCCCGGGTTCACGCCATTCTCCTGCCTCAGCCTCCCGAGTAGCTGGGACTACAGGCGCCTCCCACCGCGCCCCGCTAATTTTTTGTATTTTTAGTAGAGATGGGGTTTCACTGTGTTAGGCAAGATGGTCTCAATCTCCTGACCTCGTGATCCGCCCGCCTTGGCCTCCCAAAGTGCTGGGATTACAGGCGTGAGCCACAGCGCCCGGCCATCATTTTATTTTAAGATAGTTATTTGTTTTGTCATTTCTTCTAGCTAAAATGTGTGATAAATTATGTGTTTTTTTATGCGTGTGTATGTGAACAAAACTATAAGAAAGTGATAGGTTGAGAAAATGAGTTTACATTTAGGCAAGTAAATAATTAATAAATAGGGCCGAGCGACATGTCTCATGCCTGTAATCCCAGCACTTTGGGAGATCGAGGTGGGTGGTCACGAGGTCAGAAGATTGAGACCATCTTGGCCAAAATGGTGAAACCCCGTCTCTACTAAAAATACAAAAATTAGCCGGGTGTGGTGGTGTGCACCTGTAGTCCAAGCTACTCAGGAGGCTGAGGCAGGAGAATTGCTTGAACTCAGGAGGCAGAGGTTGCAGTGAGCCGAGATTGAGCCACTGCACTCCAACCTGGGCAACAGAGCAAGACTCCATCTCAAAAAGGATAAGAAAATAATAAATTAGTGTACTCTAAATTTAACTAATGGTTTTTGTTAGAATCTATAAACACATTAAAAATCCTAGTACAGTGAAATAGAATAAGCAGGTGGTCATTGTCATTAGGTAACTGATTATGTCAGGAAATAAGATTGTGGTTACTTTAGAAAAGAAAATTACAATTCAATCCACAAAAACAATAAGAATAGGGTAAGTGAATGTACATATATGTCAGGTAAAATAATGACCGTAATTCAAAGAGGACTAATTAGTAACATGTTTAAAAGGCAGAATAATAAAATAAGTGGTGAATTAAATAACTTTCATAGAATAAGTAGGAATCCTTATCAAAAAATGAATGCAACTTGGTTACGAGCGCTGACTAGTAATGCAGGATGCACTTGTAAGTCAATATATAATATAATATCATTACAAATTTAAAATGATCTGTCTGCTAGAAAATAAACTTCCTTAAAGCGTCCCAAAGAAATGTCATAATACCAATAAGATACCAATAAGATAAAAGCATGAGGAAGAATATAATACAAATGAGTTTTTTAAACACCCAAACAAATTAGTTAGAAAGATGTCAGAGTAATTTGATTTTTGTTGCTAAGTTTGATTCAGCTTAACTGAGGTCTAAACCTGTGAGTCATTAATTTCTGAGGATGATTCGTTTCATATGAGTGCCTAGGAGGGGACCTTATTCCTCGACATTGAGTCATGTGCATTGCTACTAAATTTAATTGGAAGAAATCAACATTCTGACAAGAAAATTTTCTTTGACCATGAGGGTGCGCATTTCTCTATTCCCCAGGCTACCAGTATTGTCCTGATAGCGTTTTAAAACACTCTTTGCAATTCTAACTGATGCACAGGAAAAAGAAAACAAGGTTGTTCAAAGGAGAACAAATACCTAAAATAAGAAAACAGAGAACTTTATGTGAGGAAAATCAGAAAAGATAAACCATTCACTCAGAATTCATGAAGAATCATCCATATTATCCAGGCACCTCCTACCCAGGGGATACATTTTGAGACGATAACACTAAGAACCAGAATAAAATACCTCATTAACTATATTTTTGCCTCATCTGTAGAAACTTCAGCCTACTTCACAATGAACCCAAGTTGTACTGCGAGTCCCCAGGGAGTTTCTTATTTGTACTCTGGACCTAGTCCCATTTGCTATTATTTATTAGACATCATTTACTTTTCTTATTGATCTCCTTAGTGCTTTCAGGGTAGATGATAACCATATTTACAGAAGAAGATAATTTTATCTTCTGCTTCATAGAAGTGCCTATTTATTTATCTAGTGGCATTTGCTACAAGTTCCATAAATGATAGTGAACATCAATGATAATGAGATCACTAATCTGGACTGTAATGTATCCAGCTTGAGGTATGCAGTCTCCAATTATTTTTGGAATCTAACCACCACTTTTTCCACCAAATGTGATGATTTTTATTTTTTTTGAGATAGAAAATCTTTATCACATTAGGCATATAACCTTGGTTTATTAATGTATGAGAATTGGATATCGATTTTTAAACATTTATTTGTATTTATTTATTTTTATTTTTTTTTGAGATGGAGTTCCACTCTTGTTGCTGAGGCTGGAGCGCAATGGCACCATCTCCACTCACTGCAACCTCCACCCCACCAGGTTCAAGTGATTGTCTTGCCTCACCCTCCTGAGTAGGTGGGATTGCAGGTGCCCACCACCATACCTGCCTAATTTTTTTGTACTTTTAGTAGAGATGGGGTTTCACCATGTTGGCCAGGCTGGTTTCGAACTCCAGACCTTAGGTGATAACACCTGCCTCGGCCTCCCAAAGTGCTGGGATTACAGGCATGAGTCACTGCACCTGGCCAAAAATTTATTCTTTCAATGAATGTTTAACAAGCTTATGTGTATATCAAATCAAATTCAAGGCATTTGTATGCAGCAGTAAACAAAAGACACAAAAGTCACAGTTCCTATGTTACTAACGTTCTAGCCAAGGCAACAGACCTAAAATAAATAAATAACACAAGTCCTATGTTAAAAAAAAAAAGCGCATGGTGAAAACTAAAGGAGGAAAGGAGATAAGGAATGTTTCAAAAAGCGGATTAAAGGTTTGAAACCACGGAAGTCACCAGTTAATATCATGGTTATAATACAGTAAAAATCTGAGATATTAAAGGACTGAGCCGTTTGGAAATTTGGGGAAAGAATATTTCAAACAGAGGGAACAGGAAAGGGAATGGCTTGGAGGCAGTCTTAAATGTGGCATGCTCCAGAAGGTCACGGTACTTAGAGCATGCTATGGGAGAGAAGATGGATTGTAGATGAGACAAGAGAACAAATGTAGATCAGATCCTTTAGGATCTTGTAGTTCAGCCTGAGAAACTTGGATTTTACAATGAGTGAGATATATTACTACTGAAGTACTTGAAAGAGAGGAGTAAAACTTTATTTTTTAGCTGAAATTTTAGCAAGACCACTCTGAACACTTTATGAGAATAGATCATAGGAATTTTAGGATGTAAGCAGAGAGACCAGTTAAAAAGCTATTACAATAATCCAGATAATGCTAATGAGAATTTGGTATATGAATGTAGCAGTGAAGTTGCTAAGAAATGATTGGACCCACGTTGGGTAATGAATTTTATCAGAGTGTAAGTTTTACATGAACTTCTTCAGGATGCTTATATTATTAACTATTATGTGTACTCCTTTTGAGTAGTAATATTTTTCCTCTCAACACTTGGTATATAATCTTTCAGTTTCCACATAGTATAAGAGAAGAAGAATGCCACCCTGGGTGATTATTTTCTATCTAGATATAATGACTTTTTTTTTAATTTCCCTGAAAGTAATCTTGTAGAATTACCTTCTTTTCAATCAAGTTGAACTTTGGGGGATAAAACTAGAGCAATAATTTGCCCAGTAAATTGAGTAATTTGGGCTCAAAACTCCAGTCTTTTCTCAACTCAAACCATATTTTATTTTCCTGCATCTGTTGTCCTTTGATGTATTTTTGGATTCTTATATCTATCCTCTTTAAACATGTTTTCCACCATCTATTGGACGTTCTGCCTCTTTTAATTAATCCTGTGGGTTTTTTTTTCATGTTTCTCTTTTAATTTGCCTCTTCGGTTTTCTGTTGTTACCATTATATTGTTTTCTGCTTCCACTGTGTGTTTTTCTCTCACTTTATAATGCAATATAGCTGATGTGCATAAAACAATGAAACATAACTGTCCAGTATAATGGGTAACTAGAAGTGCAAATCTTCTGATCACATAATAGATATTTCTTGAATGAATGAATGAATGAGTAAAATATGCAAGTCTCCCTGCTTTACTCTCCATTTTTCTAGGTGTTAGTTGGGGTAGAAACACATTAAAGTAGCAGTCTGCCCAAAATGATTGACTCTGAGCACCTTATATGGGTCACCCGGAGAGGGAGTGTTTGCAGTTACTCTATCCTTGGTTTTTCTGTGGCTTTTTGCTGTGGAGAACTTATCAGGTAAAACAACACAGATATGTGCCTCCCTGAGCCTTATTCTATGATGACATTAACCAAGTAAGTAGGAGAATGACCAGGTCTGGAGAATCCCTAGACTCTCTCAAGCACACAGGCTTAGGTTAACCATTTTACAGGTCGCTTGGGGGGATTATCCTTTTTCTGCAGTGTAGAGCTTCTTGGATTGTGTCTGTGTCTGCCTCAATCTGAGTACTATTTAATTCATTTGTATGTATTAGTGCAGACTTTGGGACATCTAATTCTATTTGGCTAACGTTTTAGTGTTCTTATTTCTCTTATTTTTGAGGTTTTGAAAAAGAAATCCACCGATGATTCTGCTTGTTTTCCCCTTCCTGAGTTACTTCTTTCTCTCCGTAAGCTTCTGGGAGAACTGTATGGATTCTCTTGAAATAATTAACATATCTACTTGTACTTCTACTCATTGAGTTTGATATATAGGTTATTCCAGTGAATTTCCCCCATTTCCCAAGGTCGAAATTTCTCATACAACAGAATAAATGCATGAAGAATAGCAGAGTTGTCCTAGTCAGTCTGATTAAACTCTTGTTTGAACACAGCACACTGTGTTTATGACAACTTATACTAATTCACTTTCAGTGCTGTTGAAGAATGTAAATGTAGTGAAAATGGCATTTAAACAGCCAACATTGTTAGAATACATGACCATTCTATTTGTTGATGCTGAAGACCTCTACAGATTGCATAAAATGGAAAATAACCATAAGAATCCTAATGTGACTGATGTAAAATAACATTTAGTTCCCACAGAGAAGCCTTTCTTCAAAACCTCTGCTAAGGTTAAATATCTTTTAAAAATTCAACAAAGAGCATAGCATGGAAACTGACTCTTAGTAACACCTGTTAAAGGAAAAAAAGGAAAGAATATTTTACACCAGGGCAGTGAAAGGAAAAACTGAGAGTGTGACTAAGAAGCAATATGAAAAACCCTCTGTTGATGCCAACATGGATTTCACACTCCTGTGTTAGCTGCCAATTCTATTTTAAATTACCGGGCCTCTGCTGTTAAAGAAATATATGAAATGTATTATGAATACTGTAGTCCTACATGTCGCTGGGTATTGACATATCCATAATATATTCTACCACTGGGTGATACTAGAACCACTGTCCTTGAGGTAAATAAACAGGTAAGGTGTTGGAAAAATTGGGCTAAAATCTGATTGTAACAAAAAGAAGATTGAGCTAGAGCTAGGGATACCTTGAGCTATTTTAAAACGTTTTATAACTATGTACAAAAATATCTTTACCTTTTCTTTGGAAC
Organism: Homo sapiens; assembly: GCF_000001405.40. NCBI lineage: Eukaryota > Metazoa > Chordata > Mammalia > Primates > Hominidae > Homo > Homo sapiens. The sequence continues at coordinate 13,872,826 of NC_000008.11, forward strand.
AGTACTAGAAAAACAACTCTTGTCTCATCTTCTTGGCACATTCTATGGAAATTTATATTGATATAGATTATAGAGAAAAGTGTTAGCAAATAAACTGATGAAATACTATTTTTCTACAATATTTTACATATTGGGACCTATTTTCTCTCTCTCTCTTCCACTCTCTGTTTTTCTCTTTCTGTATATATTTTATATACACAGTTAACTCTTAAACAGTGGGGAGGTTAGAAAAACCAGTCCCAAGCACAGTTGAAAATCTGTTTATAACTTTTAATTCCCCAAAATTTAACTACTATAGCCTACTGTTGATTGACACCCTCAGTGAAAACACGGTTAACTAACACATATTGTTATATATATATATATATATATATATATATATATATATATATATATATTATAAACTGCATTATTTTAATAAAGTTAGATAAAGAAAATATTAAGAAAATTATAAGAAAGAGAAAATATATGTATTCATTAAGGAAGGTGGATTATCACAAAGGCCTTTATTCTCATCATCTTCATGTTGAGTAGGCTGAGGAGGAGGAGGGGTTGGTCTTGCTGACTCAGGGGTGGCAGAGGTGGAAGAGGTGGAGGAGGGGCTAGGGGAGACGAGAGAGGCAGGCACATGCAGTGTCACATTAGAGAAATAGTTTGTAATTTCTGACTTTTTATTTCTATAAAGATGTTTCTATAAGGTAGCAGTTCTTCTACTATTTGCTTTAGTTTCAGGGGGATCGTATCGTAAAGATAATGACATGATTATTTAAATCATCTTGAATAATCCGAACCCATCTGCTAGATTGTCTAATGTCAGTTTCTTTTCTGACACTGCTTCTACATCTTCTCCCTTATTGTCTGGCCCTGGTTCAGAAGCACTCATCTCCATCAATTTGTCTTCCATTAACTCTTCTTGTGTGTGGTCTATTAGCTCTTGAATCTCTCCAAGATCCATATCTTGAAAGACTTCACTCGCTACCTATTTTGCGATAGCCACAATCTTGTTTCATGGTTTTCTTGACTGGATCTGTCATAAATCCAATAAAGTATGTACAACATTTGGATATAATTTTCTGCAGGAGGAATTTATTGTTTCAACCTTGAGGACTTGCGGGTCACTTTTTGTAACAACAATGGAATCTTCAATAGTGTAATCCTTCCGGAGTTTCATGATGTTCCCTCTATCATGGTTCTCTTCCACTTCATTGACAATCTTATCCATAGGGTACTGTGTGTAATGAGACAGAGGTGCTTACGACATGCTGACCTACAGGCTGAAATAGACATGTTGTATTTGGGGAAAATAGACTACTTTGCCGCCTTTGCTGTTGAACTCATGAGGTTCTAGGTGGCCAGGGGCACTGGTCAACATCGAAATAACTTAAAAAGGCAGTCCCTTACTGGCAAGATACTTCCTAACTTGAGGGGCAAAAAAAAAAAAAAAAAAAAAAAATCATTGAAACCAATCCAGAAAAAGTGTTCTTATTGCCCAGGTCTTGTACAACCAAAAGACTGGCAGCTGGTGTTTAGTTTTTCTTTTCAAGGCTCAGGGTTGAGCAGCTTTATAGATAAGGGCAGTCCTGATCATAAACCTGATTGCATTTGCAAAAAAAAAAAAAAAATTGTATAGTAAGCCTATCACTTCCTGCCTTTAATCCTGGTGCTTGCTTCTTTTCCTCATTAATAAATGTCCTTTGTGACTTTTTTTTTCAAAATATGGCACTTTGTTCTGCATTACAAATTTGTTCAGGTAGACATGCCTTCTCCTCAATGATTTTATTAATGGCATCTGAGAACTCTGTTGCTTCTTGGTCAGCAGATATGGCTTCTCCTATTATCTTAACATTTTTTAAGCCAAACTGTTTTCTTAAATTATTAAACCATCCTTTGCTGGCATTAACTTATTCAGCTTTAGATACTTCACCTTCCTTTAGCTCTGAGTTGTTGCAAAATGACTTTATTTTTTTTGAGCTATATTAGATTCTATAGGTATGCTTATAGCAATCTTGCAGACTCCATTGCCACTCGCGTGGGCAGATCTGGAAGTGGGATGGTCCTTCTAAATTGAGACAAAGGATTCAGCCTTTGTCACCTCATATCCACCAGTCATAAATAATGAGTTAGCTCTTTTTGGGTGAACCCATTTCTGAAGAGGAAATTCGCTCATTATCCATCAGCAGGTAATACTCTCAACAGCTGAGGAAATGATTAGTTCACTCCTAAGCATGACATCTGGATAATGTACCATGGTTTCCACTGCTTTTCAAACCCTTGGGCCATTCATATAGTAAGTTTGCCTCCTCTGAGAACAGTTCTTCTGGGATCTGCTTGGTCTCTTTTTCTGGGGAAGCTAACAAGAAGAAGGCAAGTAAGACAAACTACAATACCCACTACTCCAACTGGTTTCCAGGCATGGTGTCTTATTGAGGTCCCAGCATTGGTTCCAGTTGCTAGAAATTTGGATATTTGCAGTTGCAGTAGCTGGACCTTAGTGATTGAGTCTATATTTTGGGGTCCATGCCTAGTTTACACCCATATTTATCAAGCCCATGCCTGGCTTATACTACACCGTGGCCACTTCAATGAACAGCAATCAGCCAACATTGACCATGACTGATGACAGAGGCTATCTGACATCAGTAGGCCAAGTCATTTTGCCTACTGAATTACCTAATACCTCTTTTGTGGTAGCTGCTCACTGGTGAGTGTTCCCATGTGATAAAAATATCTTCACAAGTTGTGCTTGCTCTTATGACTCTATTTACATGTCAATTGGTGCAACTCATACAATTCCATCTTGCCACAGAGTAGAGTTGAAAGGAATAGAGGGTATATTGGAAGGGGCATATGAAAAATATACAGCACAATTTATCTTTTTTTTTCTTGGCATCTACTATTTTTTTGTTGTTGTTCTTTTTCTTTTCTTTTTTTTTTTTTTTTTGAGATGGAGTCTCGCTCTGTCACCCAGGCTGGAGTGCAGTAGCGTGACCTCGGCTCACTGCAAGCTCCACATCCCTCATTCACGCCATTCTACTGCCTCAGCCTCCTGAGTAGCTGGGAACACAGGTGCCCGCCACCACTCCTGGCTAATTTTTTTTTATTATTATTTTTAGTAGAGACGGGGTTTTACTGTGTTAGCCAGGATGATCTTGATCTCCTGACCTCGTGATCTGCCTGCCTCAGCCTCTTATTAGTTCTTCAGGTGAAAAAGGTGTGTCCCTAATACAAAAGACACACAAAGTTCTGGAAGCGACATGGAATGTGAAATACTAGTTATTATGAGAAGCTAAAATTCTAGCTTTCTCTTTATGTAATCTGGCAGGCATTAAAATGAAGTAAAATAAACAACATAAACATAGGGGCTTTAATTTTCACTTCATTAGTTAGCTGTGAGGCCTATGTTGGTAATCACAGGTGCCTTCTTTGACTGCAACTTGTGCTCTCAAGTCTTAGCTGCACCCCATTTGAATGGCATTATTTATCTGGTAGAATAACTCAAATTTTTATTTGAGTCTGTGGTTACCCTGTTGCGTTTCCTCACAGACCTGAATTATGCATCTGGGCAGTACTAAGGGGAGCTGCTGTGAGTCATGAATCACCTGGGCTCCTAACATTGTTCTTTTCCCCATTGTTTTGCAGGAGGATGTTTTTTCTCTTAGAAACCAGAATTTCAGGAAATTCAATGACCCATTTTCTGCCTATGGGACAAGAAATTTTTCTCTTAGAAATCAGAATTAGTCATTTCAGGAAATTCAATGACCCCTTTTCTGCCTATGGGACCAAAAGAAAAAAAAAAAGGGAGTGAGTACAAGCCTGTCAGAATGCAGTCTCAGCTTTCAATTTAATAGAATCACGATGGTGTTCTCTCATGGAAGTATTCCTCTTTTTGAGCACCAAAATCTAAACACCCGGAAAGCCCATGCTAATGGAGATGGAGAGAAAAAATCCTTCCAACACATTATGTACGTTACCACTCCTAATTCTACTCTTTGGCTCTTAAAGACATACATCCCATCTCTGGAAGAGATTGCACCATACACCCAGTACTAAGTTAAAGCATATAATACATTTTTTGATTGACACTAATCCTATAGACTATTAGCTATTCTTTGAAAAATACTGTGGTAATGGAAGACGTGGTTAAGACTATAAATTTTCTGTGCTAGAACCCATTGCTATCCTTGTATTGCTATAGCATATGTCTCTTGATCAAGGAATACTTGTATGGAGTAATATGGCAATGAATGAGGCATTCTTTAATTTCATATGCTTAGTCCTAGCAGAAGAACTGTAGATAGAGATGGTAAATATGTATCCGGAATATATGTCTATTCTCATGTGGATGTGGAGAAGGGGATTTCTTCTCATTTTGTGAAAGATTGCATTATTTTTATCAATGTTAGTTCCTTTCCCTATAAGAGGATTTTACCTCAGTGCCCTTTGTTGATATAATTTCCTCAGCCTTCTGATAAATGGTATTTAGAGGATACTTGGCCACCCTTACTTCTGAGTTTAGATTCGTGTGAATCGTTTTGGTTGAAAAAAATCAGTGGTTGTGTTTGAGATCATTTGTATGCACAATGGAGACTTTTAATGCTTTAATGTCACAACAGCAGGATGTCTCAAATTAGAGGTTCTCTTTCACCTTGGGTCCCAGATTAGAATAACAATGGAAGCCAAATGGAACAGACCCAGAGTCAATCCATGTAATGTGAACAAGAAATGGTTCTCGATACAGTTGTCATTGTTTTAAGCCACTGGTATTTTGGTATCAATTTTTACTGTAACAAAATCTATCTAATAAACATCTCCAAGATATAAAGTACCCAAACTAGTCAACCTATTGTTAGATGGCCAGTTAGTACCTTCCAGGGAATAAAACCAAATTGGGAGGTATCTACTTTTGTCTGGTTGAGAATAATAGCAGTAACCAAATCAGCCTGGATGCGAAAGTACCTCTTGTACAATTCATACGTAGCCCTCATACCTCCTGTCATGGTCACTGTATAAATAGGCTCATTGAGAAAGCACCTGGATGGCTGCCACCTTCAGCGTAATTCATATGCTCTATCTCATTTGGGAGAGCTTTATCCATAGTGGCAGCTTGCTAGTCAGCATTTATAGGGGTCAAAATAGTTTTAAATATTTAAGCTGTTTGAGAAGCCCATATTTCCGAATTCCCTGTCACCAATCTTCCTATTTTGTTCTTTCCATTTCCCTTATAAGTCAGTCAACCCAATAGCCACTGCCCGTGAATCAACATAGATCTATATTTCAGGCCACCTCTTCTTTTATATGAAGTGATGTACTCTAATTTCTCAAAAGTCTGTTAATTAAAGAGATGTCTCTATGTGACTATTTTTGAAGATCGTTCCTGAATGGGGCTTTAATGTAACAACTAATCAGACAGTTGATTGCATATGGTACACATTGTTTCATAAACCAAACTGCTACATTTTTTTCTTTCATTTCTTTCTTTGTCAAATGGTCATAAATAGGGTGATGATAGATCCTGGTTTTCCCAGAATGCTTCCAATTTACACCCACTGTTCCCTCTTAATAATAGTGTTGCTTTGCATTTTTTTCCAGGGGTTTTGTTTTATTTTTTGTTTTTGCTTGTTTGTTTGTTTGTTTGTTTTGAGATGCAGTATCGCTCTGTCACCAAGGCTGGAGTGCAGTGGTGCAGTCTTGGCTCACTGAAGCCTCTGACTCCCAGGTTCAAGCAATTCTCCTGCCTCAGCCTCCCTAGTAGCTGGGGCTACAGGTGTGTGCCATCACAACTGGCTAATTTTTTTTTTTTCCATTTTTAGTAGACACTGGGTTTCACTATGTTAGCCAGGATACTCTCGATCCTCTGACCTCCTGATCTGCCCACCTTGGATTCCCAAAGTGCTGAGATTACAGGCATGTGACATTGTGCCCGGCCTCCTTTGCACTTTTAAAATTGTCTTGATTTGAATGTTAACCATATTATACTAATCATAGATATAGGTTGAGAGAGATGTCACACAACAGTGAAAATGTGCGCAACTGAGTGTTTATCTTTCTTCTTCAGTTTATCTTTGCATTCAAGTTATGCTTAAATTCAGTTTCATAAATTCCTTTTCCATTACACTGGAGCATACTACTGGATCCATTCAATTTTATGATTCAGTAGATCAGCTAACAACCTCCTGTTGAGTATGTACAGGTGGGGATATATGATTATTTGTTATCTTGTGATCAAATATTCAGTTTCTACTGGGGACCAATACCAGGTCACAGGGGATTTTCAAATAGAGAAGAATTTGTGACAGGGCCAGGCCTTATTATCAAACCTTAAGGGTCTGCGCTGTTTCTCCTATTGAGACTTGCAAAGAGTTCCATAAAACCTCTGTCTGTCATAAACACTGCCAATGCTCTTGAGTTTGCTGAATGACTCCAAATTTCAGAACATATTTTCCCTTCTTTGGGCTATTTTCTTTTTCTGGTACCATTCAAAAATGTCATATTTATGAGTTATCCAGTAAGAGGTTAGAAGAGCCTACATAAATATGATGCATGTTGTCTCAAAATCCAAAGAGCTACCCAAAGCATTGAGTGTCTTTACAGTGGGCATTGCAAGGGATAGCAACTTGCTTTCACTTTAGAGTATATTCTGAGATACTCTCTCCACTATTGGATTCATAGAAACTTCCATGATATGACGAGCCCCTGAACTTTTGCAGAGCTTCTAACCCATTGTCTTATATCCACATATCTTATTATAGTACTTTGAAGGCTTATTAATTTCTCATAATGACATTCGATTAGAATCATGTCATCCACACAAAATATCAGCAATAAGAAATCAGTCTGATCAAGAGACCTTTGGACATTATAACATTGGTCTAAGTCAGGACAGTAAGGGTACACTGTTATTACTACTGATTAAGGCAAAAATGTTTCAGGTTAATTTTACTAATAGAAATGGAAAAAAGAAACCTTCGGCATGCAAGAGACCATCTGCATTGATTAGTAAAGATATCATCTCTGGCAACTCAACTGTGATTATCATCATCATCATCATATTAATTTTGTGATAATCTGTGGTCATTGTCCATGACCTAGTTCTGGCTTTGGCACTGGCTAACAGATAATTAAATGAGAATGTGATAGGAATCACCATCTCCACATTTTAAAAATATATGTAGTTGGTACTAATCTCTGCAAATCTGTTGTAGATTGGTTTGGCTTTTTTTTTTTAGTTGTGTTTTTTTTTTTTTTTTTTTTTTCTCTTGAGACAGAGTCTCGCTGTGTTGCCCAGGCTGGAGTGCAATGGCACGATCTTGGCTCACTGCAACCTCTGCCTCCTGGGTTCGAGTGATTCACCTGCCTCAGCCTCCCGAGTAGCTGGGATTACAGGAACGTCTCATCATCCCCAGCTAATTTTTGTATTTTTAGTAGAGACAGGGTTTCGCTATGTTGGCGAGGCTGGTCTTGAACTCCTGATCTCAGGTGATCCGCCCACCTCAGCCTCCCAAAGTGGTGGGATTACAGGCATGAGCCACCATGCCCAGCCTGGCTTGGCTTTTTCTTCACTCTTGACAGGAGTGGGAAGATCCAAGGGTTTCCAACTGGCCTTTTCTACTGTAACTGCCTTCACTATACAGATTATAGAAACTATATAGGAATTCTGCCAGTGAGTAAATATATCTATTCACTGTATGCTCAGACAATGGGAAAAGAACAATATGTGTCTGTCATAAATCCCCTACTGCAACTTGAGATAGGTTTCTGTCCATTAGCCGCAGAATTTTCCAATAGAATACATTATACATGCCTAGGCTGTCAATCTATTTTATTCTTTGTAGCTTCGTGACCAGTTAATCATTGCCATAGATCTGTTTCTCTCAAAACATGATTATCACTCATCTCAGTTGTTTATTATGTTTAATCCACTCAAATGACCTTTGACAGATCAACATTGCCATCTGATCTGGGCTCTAAGTTTCTGTTGAAATGATGGAGCCTGATATTATTGCAGTATCCCTCACTGTTAGCTCTGGCTACAGAGGGCAGCCACTGCAGAAGTGTACATGCCAGTGCCTTTCTTACCAATAATTTTCTTAACAGTTTAGTGAATAGAGTCCCCTTTGGGTCATTGCAGCCAAGGAGGTTTTTTTTTTTTTTTTTTTTTTAAATAGGTGAATAAACATTTTATACATAACAAAACTGGTCTAACATTCATGACAACCTAAGCTTTTGCACCCTAAGCCACTAAACTTTGGTATTTGATCATCAATGGCTATAGGCTGCTGTTCACCTTTAAATTAGCTAAGATGATAAAGGAGATTAGCAAGGTAGGTTCAGGGAATTTGGGAGTTTAAAGCTCTTTTAATATTACCATTTCCAGACACTCAATAGAATAAATTCTAAATCCCAGATTATACATAGCCATTAATACATTCATCCCAAACTATACTTATGTTTTATTCTTTCTGGTTTAATGTCTTTAGATCCTCTCATAAAATGTCTCTCAGATCACTGCTGATAGAAATTGGTGATATGCAGCAACACATTTGGGGTACTGAGTGTCTCCTCTTGAGTCGATCCATGAAATTTCCAGTGTAATCTATGAATATCTAACTTTTTATGGACTACAAGGAAAAATGCTGAGGTGGAGGTATGCCGTGAGGTGAGGAAACAGCTTGTAGACGATTTTGAAATATAGCATATTGATTGAAAGTTTGAAGTATAAAAAGGCCAACAGATCCGAAGATGTTTGCCATTGAAGGGACGCTTTATAACTCACAGTTTTCAAGAGAAGGAGCACTCCATTCTGGAGGGCCACAGGTGGAGGCGCTGGGGTTAATCGGGAGGCAGAGAGAGGTGGGGCCTATGGGTTAGAGCCTTTATTGTGGTTTTCACAGGAAGAAACAGGCATGGGACAGTAAGCAGCTTTAGGGATGGCTAGTTTGAATAATTTCAGTGGGCTTTGGGAACTAGGGTTTGTCTCTAGTTGTCTGGTACCTAGCCCTGAGGTGATTAGGGCAGATGGATGTTAGTCCTCAAGTATGTGAGTCCAATAAATGAGATAGTTGGGTGTGGACCTTGGATTAGTTGGTTTGCATTTGAAAAGCATGCTAGTAGTTGTGCTATTTACTATCCCTGAAAACTGGGTCACTGTGGTAGAAACAGGTCCCTCTAGGGTGAGCAAAGCCCCAGATGTCAAAGCATTGAGTGCAGAGAATAAAATACATAATTAATACAAGAGCCAAACATCCAAGTATTTGATGGGAATGGCTGGTTCCTTCAGTGTGTGTGTGTGTGTGTGTGTGTGTGTGTGTGTGTGTGTTGGATGATGTTGGCATGCAGTGGGGATATCTCTGCTGGCACAGTGAGTTCAGGGGAATTTTGCTGTTAAAATATTTTAACATTGACTATCTCTGCTCAAGTGTCTCCACTACAGATCTCAGGGTAGATCTTCTTTCTCATTAATGACTTTGATGTAGCATAATATTTTTTCATGTTTTTATATTTAATTGGTGCTTTAGCAGCTCTTAGCATCTATTTGCTGCAACTAGAGGAGAGGAGAACCTCTTCAAAATGTCCCTAAAGACTTTTTGATTTTTTCTGTTTGTTCGTCATTGGGCATTCCAGGACTTGAGTTTGTCCTTTTTACTGTTTATGCTTTCTAGGCTAGTCAGAAAAAGCCAACTGACTCCACAATCTTTGTAATAATCTTGGTTACCATAGTTACCAAGTGCTTTAGCCACTTGACCTTCCTCTGCACAACATTCTTCATCACATGCTGCCAGGAGAGATAATGTGGGTTATCAGGATACCACTACAAGCCATGGAATTACTAGTGGTCTATTACCCCTAGCAAAGAGGTTATTTCTTCTTAAATACATAAGCAGCTCAATTATGCAATCTTATTGTGACACAATTCTAAAATGTTGAAAGGTGAAAAACCCTTGTTTCCTAAAGCTACTTCAAAAGTCAATTACTCTTAGTCAGTGTGCCCCCTGGAAAAAGATGGAACAGCCACAGTGAGGAACTAAGCAAAGTTTCATAAATGAATATTTTAGAAACTGTGGGCAGAATATAAAGAAACCATCGAGAGATATTTTAGCTAGCAAGAGTGTTAGATGGATATACCTAGAATATGTATACCAACTACCTTGTGTTGGAGAGATTTCTAAGTAATGAATTTTACAGTTCAGTATATCTTTTTCCTCTATTCAGTCAACATTTTCACCCAGCCATGAGAAGTGATAGGCTTCCCATACCTCATTCTGAAATGGTCAGCATGGGGAGCAGTTATCTAATTCCGTGATGAGTAGATGTATTGAGAGGACCTTCTGACAAGAACTGCTGTCTCTACCAGAGCGATGCCATCTGACAGTGACCTTGCAAGAAGGGAGTCTGTAAAGGAAAAACGTAACCTCCTTTTCCTCCTACCCTCTCATCTGCCAGAACTTTCCATTGACTGAACCCAAACTGAAGATGATGCTGACAGCAGGGAGATCCAGTCTCCACAGGTCAGCTTCCAATGACCCCAGAGGAAAAGTCTAGAAGGGAGATTTGGTGCAACAAACCCAAAAGACCCAGCACAGATACCAGTTAAAGAGGAGAAAAATTAAAGCTAATTCTAACATATTGATCATTTTCTTCCAAATTCATACTGGATTTCTTAATCTTTCTATGGATCCAATCGTGTTGAACATTAGGAGGTGACTTCATACTTCTGTGTCTAAGAAAGTCAATTCTTCTTCTACCTCCAAATATTTTAGACATCCAAATCAGGGGACTGATGTTTTTTAAAATTTAGAAGTAAACATTTTTGACTCTCTCTAAATCTTTTCTGATATCATATTTAGTGACCTACATTTCTAAAATAATGCTAATATGTAAAGCACATCCTCGCTTAACATACTTTTTTTTTACCTAAATATATGAGGAAGAAAAAGAAAGGGTATAATTTGATAGGAACACTAGGTGACATTTTCTGCCTAGAAAATAATTTCATACACCTGAGATCAATTTTAGACTTCACCCTTTCTTAGCTTTATTGATTTTGGATAACTTGTTTTTTTCAAGATGGAGTCTCACTCTCTCACTGACGCTGGAGTGCAGTGTGATCTCGGCTCGCTTGCAACCTCCGCCTCCCAGGTTCAAGTGATTCTCCTGCCTCAGCCTCCCAAGTAGCTGGGACTACCGGCACATGCCACCACGCCTGGTTAATTTTTTGTATTTTTAGTAGAGATGAGGTTTCACCCTGTTAGCCAGGATGGTCTCAATCTCCTGACCTTATGATCCACCTGCCTGGGCCTCCCAAAGTGCTGGGATTACAGGCGTGAGCCACCGTGCCTGGCGATTTTGGGTAACTTTTCAGAAACCTCTCTGACTCTCAGTTTTCCTATCATTAAAAGGGGGTCTATAATAACTAACATGAATTTCAAAAAAGTTATTTCATGTAATGTAGACAATGCTCTTGGCACAGTTTCTGTTATTAGTCACTAAGTAATTGGAAAGGATTTTTAATAGAACAAAGAAAGTAATAAGAGAAAACATTGATTTAGATGTCTAAAAGATGAGTGAAGATCCATGAAGAAATTTAGAAATTCTCTAAATATTTTTAATAATTTTTTGAATTCTAAAAATATACAGATATTTACTTATATACCTGATATCTGAATAGAAATGGGTAACTACCAGCAGTGTGAATACACTGATGGTTCTTTTTCTTCTTTTTTTAGGTTTAGAGTTATCACCACATGCACACTCATTTCCTTGCCATAAGGAATTTAAACTCCTGGGAGCCAAACAGTTGAGAAATGTGTGTGGTCCAATGTATTGGCTGCTCTGGAGCTTAACATAGTGAATTGAAAACATCAATAATTAATGGGATACAAAGATAGCAGCCTGGACTGCCTGTATTACAAAGCAGGGATACTACTAAAGCCATTTACATTTTGAATTTCAGCAGCTCCTAAAATCAGCTTATATGCAAAGCTCCTTACACTAAAATGAGCTTAATTTCTGATTGTAAACAGTTCTGCTGAACACCATAAATTTCAGGCTTCATGAGAATCCATTGTTTAATTCAGATTGGTTTAAGAAAAGCTATAGTCACATTAAAATCTTACATGGTAGATTTACTACTTTTAACTTACACCAACAATTTTCTAGCGCAATTTTTTTAGATATTTTTTTTTTCACCAGTGTGTAGAATGTTAAGGTGAAGGACTAGTTATTTCATGCATAAAACCAATTCCTTCTGCTTTTCATATACATTTTTCCTATTTGAAAGCAATACATATGTAATATTTCTCTATTTCGTATTTGAAAGCAATACATGTGTAATATTTCTCTACTACTTTTAAAGAACGTAAGTTTTAGAATTCCAACTCTCTTAATACTATCCAAACCTTTCCCTTCTAAAATGATTGGATATGCCAATATTTTGAAAATATATGTAAGACAAATAATTGGCCGGTTTGGGCAATCATCATTCATTTTTCTTTTTCTTTTGGGTAACAGCTCTCAGATTTCTTTTTGGGTATTCACGTCTTTGTCATGCGGTCCATGTAACTCTGTGGAAGCTGGAGCTATCTACACTTCTATCCTCCAAAGTAGTCACCATATCCCTTCAAGCTATTCATGTTTTTTTTTTGTTGTGTTTTGTTTTTGTTTTTGTTCAAGGATGGGCATATGGTGTCATTAAAGTCAATGAGATATGAGTAAAAATATATCATTTCTGTGAGGGCTTTTCGGGATCAAGCATTTCTTATTTTCAATAAGATTTCGTTGGAGAGAATCATTTCATTTACTGGAATTGAATGGGAAAGGCTATTGTTGTGGAAGCTGGCTGGCAGCCATTCTGTGACCATGAAGGTTTCCAGCATTAAAATGATGCAGACAGGATGGAATATAGAGAAGGGAGATGGGTCAAATTGCAGTGTTTGAAGGCACGCATGCATGTCTGACTAAAGCACCCCCATCCCCAACTTCAAGGCATGTTCCAGCTTTGAGTATATGTACCACAAATTACCATTATTTTAAAGCTAGAATATATATGCCAGTTTATTATTTAGGTCTATAGCTTGCAATGGAGAGATTTCTAAACAATGAAAGCATTTTCACATTACAAAATACCTCTTTCCTCTATTTAATCAGTATTTCCACCCAGCTACAGTGTGACATTACAAACGCTCAGAGCATGTTGTAAACAGTTCTGCTGAACACATCTGCTGAACACTATGTGCACATACAGTTCAAGCAGAACTTTTTCCACTTTGGAAGTTTTTATAGAAATTGTCTTCCTTTGGCTGGGTGTGGTGGCTCACGCCTGAAATCCCAGCACTTTGGGAGGCCGAGGCGGGCGGATCACAAGGTCAGGAGATCTAGACCATCCTGGCTAACACGGTGAAACCCCATCTCTACTAAAAATAGAAAAATTAGGCGGGCGTGGTGGCGGGCGCCTGTAGTCCCACCTACTCGGGAGGCTGAGACAGGAGAATGGCGTGAACCCGGGAGGTGGAGTTTGCAGTGAGCCGAGATCGCGCCACTGCACTCCAGCCTGGGTGACAGAGCTAGACTCTGTCTCAAAAAAAAAAAAAAAAAATTGTCTTCCTTTAATGTAGGTATGCAAAAGCATTTTAATTACAATTTCAAAATGGATTTTATGTTTTTTTCTAACCTATGGCTTCATCCCAAGGAACCCATAGCTGCCCTTCCCCCAAAAGCAGTGGCAGAGGGATTCCTACAAGGAATGCCCCAAATCGGTGGACGATGGAGCTGGTTGGGATTTCCAAGAAAGAGGGAAGAAACACCTGGGTGTTCAGGCCAAAGGATTCATTGAGGGGAAATTTGTTACCGAATGATGCAGCACAGCCTTAGGACGGATAGCAAGAGAAAGAAATGTTCTACCTAGGTATGTCCCCAGCCAGGTGGTCAGAGGATGAAATTTATATGAGGGTTTATGAAAATTTGGCTCAGGGCTGAAGCCAGTATCAGTGTTTTGAGCTACAACCTAGACAGATTTACCAGTGCCTGGAAATGTTCAGGTCCCTGGTTTGGGTTCAAGTTCGCTGGGAAAAACTTGTAGCTGTCTGGGTCACACAGTGTTTTAGGCATTTCTTGATTTTTCATTCAGGATCCAGAAAAAGCAGGGAACCTGGGAGACCCTACCCTGTTTACTCAGAATTGCCAAATGGTATGAACAGAAATATGAAGCATATTTAATACATGTGGATAAAGAAATAACATCTAAATAATATATATAATTATTATAAAAGAATTATATATACACATTTGGAAAGTTATTTAAATTTATATTTCTTTTGATTTGGGTAAGATAAAAAAGATTATACCATTTTTTGATATTTAATTTTTTTTTTTTTTTTTGAGTTGGAGGCTTGCCCCGTCGCCCAGGCTAGAGTGCAGTGGCACGATGTCGGCTCACCGCAACCTCTGCCTTCAAGGTTCAAGCAATTCTCCTGCCTCTGCCTCCCAAGTAGCTGGAAATTACAGGCGCCAGGCACCATGCCTGGCTAAATTTTTTATATTTTTGGTAGAGACGGGATTTCACCATGTTGGCCAGGCTGGTTTTGAACTCCTGACCTGAAGTGATCCTCCCACCTCGACCTTCCAAAGTGCTAGGATTACGGGTGTGAGCCACAGCGCCTGGGCTGATATTTAAATTTTTGACAATACCATTTGTCATGAAATAATTAAGATACATTAAATAATTAAAACACACCCATAATCCAAAATTTATTTCTTATGCATGCAACAATCATTTGTTTTGTATTCATTCATTTATAACCTGGACATAAAAATTATTTTTATAGCAGCATTTGTCATCATAATTAAATGGATCTTTAATACTTATTAGAAATTCTATGTTCCATTTCATTTGTTTAAAAAATCTACTTATTTCTGCTTAAAAAGAAGAAGTAATTTGCAAGTTTTGTTTATCCTCAATGATGACAACATCTAGATTTGAGTAATCTAATCAAAAGAAAATTTATCATTTTATTCAATCTGAAAATATTCAGAAGAAAATATGATTCATTCAAAATGCCAAGTATTCAATAGGAAGAATTCACCTAGATATTTGATTCAAAGTTGAATCTATTTATTATATGAATTTGTAAGACGTCTCTTTTACTTAAATACTACTTTCATAACTGAAATGTGCCATTTATTTTTTCTCAGTAAATTTTATAATAGAATAAAATAAATGAGAGAAAAATCGAGGTTTTTATGGAGCTGTGTAATACTTGTATCTAAAAGCCAAAGAAGGCTGCTTGATGTGAAGAAAATGACAGAAATAGAGCAGTAATTTCAAGAATTATGTTTATAAAATATATTAAACAACAGTTGCTATGTCCTGATATAAATGAAGAGCCACGTAATTTTTATCCATGCAATGCCTGTAAAATATGTTTACAGTCATGGAAACAATAATGGAAATCATAGAAACAAACGTAAGAAAGCAAGGGATACTTTTCTCATTGATAACACACTACAAGGTAGGTACAACTTGCTAGATGAATAAATGAAGAACAGAGATCTTAATGAATTTGACTGAGGTTACAACATTTAAAGTTGAAATTTAAAAAGTGGGTATTCAAACTGAAATTCAGTATTCTTCATAACTAGATTTCATTTACTAATCATCAGCAAAATAATAATTCAACTATGTACTAATCGCTAGACTTTTATTTAAAAACTGTATTTTCTAAAGAGATGAATGGCCTTCATTTACTGGCAGTCATTCGTTTGACAAGAAAAGATAATTCAATGACAAATACAAAGCTCTTCAATTTGTATATTTTAATCTGTTTCCATAAATTTCAAGGTTTAAGTTTCAGACTATTATACAAACATTCCGTTTGCCTATAAAATATACCTAAAAAGCTGGAACTTTTTGAAATATAGCAACTACTGATGTTTGAGAAAATGGCACTTTTAAAAAAGTTAACATGCAAATCAGGCTGCAGAACAGTTTTCCCTCTTGCAAGTAAGTGTTTTCACTTAAAGAGTCTTTAAAAACAACCTGTCAGAAAGCTGGAAGTGTTTTTCTCATTACTTTTTGAATAGACAATTTCTATCCAGCCACAAGTGTTTGAAAATTCATTAATGAGCAAATTGTCTGTTAAACATTAAAATAGGGATACATAGAGTTTGTTATGAAAGATTTTTGTAATTAATTAGGTCCAAAGGACAGAGATAAGATTGTCGCTTCCTACAACTTTACTCTTAGTGAGTACATAGTTGAAAATATCATAAATAAAAAATGCATTTAATGCGCCTAAGCTACCGAACATCGTAGTTTAGCTTAGCCCAACTTAAATGTGCTCAGAATAGTTACGTGAACCTATGGCTGGGCAAAATCATCTAACACAAAGGCTATTTTATAAAAAGTGTTGAGTATCTCATATAATTTATTGAGTTCTGAAAGTAAAATGGTTGTATGGGTACTCAAAATCTCATTTCTACTGAATATGTATTGCTTTCGTACCATTGCGAAGTCAGAAGATCATAAGTCAAATCTTCATAATTCAGAGATCATGTGTACATTCTACTGTGTTTAGAAAACATATTTTATAATATTTCTATCTGTTTTATGACCCAGCATGCAGTCCTCTGAAAAAGGCTTCTGGTATAGTGAAGAGGAATGCACACTTTGCTGTTGTTTGGTGGAGTGTGCTATACACGTGTTTTAGATGTCGTTGGTTTATAGTGTTGTCCAAGGCTGCTTTTTCCTTGTTGATTTCTATTTCCATTCATTTTTGAAAGTGGGATATTTAATTTTGTGTTATTCTTTTTCATGTTGAAGATTCATTTAGTCAAACTTACTCATTTTTTTCAGCTTTCGGAGTTTGTCTTTTTTTTCACATTCAAAAGGAATAGTGTTGATTTATCAAATGTATTTGATTGAAAGGAGTGTGATTTGGCACCAAGCTTTTTAGTGGGTCTCAGAATTGCGTAAACATGATTTCTTGAAGAGTCCATTATCTCCCTATAGTTATGAAATGCTTTTATTATATAATGAATATTCCGGTGTATTCGAATAAACTTTTTGACTTCATTCTGTAAAGCTATTTATTGTCTATGTATTCATGTGGCAATCCACTCTCTTTATCACTGAGAGTGGATAAATAATAAGAAAAATAAGTAAAAGAGCCTATTTTAATATCTAGAAAGCTTAGAAATGCTTCATTACTATTTTGTGTAATCTAACAGAAATTCCTTAAATTTTTTCCCCAGAATTTTAATGTATTTTTTTTGTGGGAATATAAAACATCTAGCCCTTATAAACTATCATTGTAGGCTAGATAATTTTCAGTGGTCAAGAATCTCATTAGTCTTCCATAGAGTTACTTATACTTGGTTTTGGTTTTGAATGTCTCTGAAACTATTTTAATTATTTTAAAAATATTTCATTACCATCTTCTAAAATTGTATGTGAGTGGATTTTTTTTTCTACAAACCCTAAGAATTGATGAGATTTTTATCTGGATTTATATATATTAAAATAAGAAATATGATTAAAATGAATGAAGGTGCTGGGAGCTGTTAGGACATTAATGGTTTAATATCCTGGAATTAGCAAAAATTGGAAAAATAGCTACAGAATTTCCAAAGCTGTAAAATTGGCAGATGTTTAAACAAGTTATAGCTAGATTAAGAACTGAAAAGGATTTCAGCAAATATTTGAAGGAAAATGACAATGAGAAGACATATATTCCTTGAAAGTACACATTTTACAATATTTTACATAAGAAGCTACTGATATATTCTGAATCTCTTAGTTAAGTATATTAATCTCTAAAGTATGTGTTTAAGTACACCATTTTGTATAATCATTAGATTCTTTTTCTGTTTTGAGAAATAATTATTTAATAAAAGTAATTCAAAATAAATGACAAAATTCTCACAACTACTCAAAAAATATTTGTCATGGTAAATGTTTATATTTTGCATTATATTTAACTTCAGACCACCACATATCCCTAAAAATATGGTTAGAAATAAAGGTTAAACAAAAGATAATGTTTTGTCCCACAGTTTCCTTGGTACACCATTGGTAGCAGAATCTAATATGAGAAATTAGGAGCAGTAAAGCTCTTCATGTGATTTTAGAATGTGTGCACTGTAATGCCAAATAATGGCATATTTCACTTTTGAAATTTATACACTTTCATGAGCAGCTATCATGGGTATATTCTTACAATATGTTGTGTAGGTCAAGAGTAAGATATGTTGAGTTTTCCTTCACTCTTTAAAGATATTTTTGCTAAAGATTCTGCATTGACAGTGTTTTTGTTGTTTGCTTGGTTGTTTTGTTTTGTTTTCCGTCAGTAGGTGAAAGCATTCTGCCACTTACTTCTGGCCTTCATGTTTTCTGATTATATAGTTAGTGGTATTTGAATTATTTCATGTAAGTAAAATGTCATTTCTTCTATGCTACATGAAATATTTTTTCTTAGTTTTTTTTTTTTCAGAAGTTTGACTGTCGTGAATCTTGCCATAGATTTCTTTGGCTTCATCTTGTTTGGGTTTGTCCTGGCTTTTTGAATGTATAAGTTAATGTCTCTTGTAAAATTTGTGAAGTTTTCATATTTCATCTCTGAGTACTTTTTGAGCCGTGCCTTTTCTCTCCTCTCCTCTCCGTATTTTAATTACACAGATGTTAGGTCTTTCTAATACTCTTACATCTCTCTAAGGTTTTTTTTTTTTTTTTCCTATTTTCTCTCTGTTTCTCAGCTTGAGTAACTTCTATCATTTTATCTTCAAGATCATGGATTATTCTCTTTCCTTCATTTTGTTATTAAGCCCATTCAGTGAGTATTTTATTTTTGATATTACATTATTTATGCTCACGTTTTTATTTCATTCTTTATATCTTTTATTTATGTACTAAAACAAATTTCCCTGGATCCAAGTATATTCATAATCATGCACTGAAGCACTGTTATGACACCTGCTTTAAAAGCCTATTAGAAAATAGTATCCTTGTAATTTTGGTGTCAGAGTATGTTGAGTGTCTGTTCTCATTCAGCTAGAGCTTTTATTCATTCTATGTATGATGAATGATTTTCCAACTGAACCTGGACATTTGAGGTATTATAAGACTCTGGCTATTTAAATCTTGTGTTTAGCAGCCCTTGTCTGATGACACTGTAGTAGATAGTGGGTACGCATGTGTACCCTATTATTACTGTCAGGTGAGCATACAAGTACAAGTTTTTCACAGCCTCCACTCACATCTGAAATGAAGAGAAGATCCTTGTTACCACAGGTTGGGTGTAGCCTGACTAAATTTTGAAGTCAGGCTTTTTAGACCTCTGCTTTTTACTGAATATTTTCACACTTAAGCGATCTGGTCCACTCTTATAGTTCAAGCTCCCTATTAAACTTCAGGTGATACCATCCTGCCTGGGAGCAAGGGTAGCTCTTCGTTATTATTCCGCATGTGGGGCCTCCACCAACACCACAGGGAAGGATATGGTCTCATTATTACTGAGTAGTGGCAAAAGTCTTGACTCTGGACGAGTCCTTACCTGATAAAACATTACAGAGAAAGTGGAGGAATAGCTTGTTACTGATGGTTGGGGTAAATGTACAGACATACCTCCTGATATCCACTGACACCATGGAGTGAGGAGAGGTGTTACCATTTGGCAGGGATAAAATCTCTGGTTCCCTACTTACACATTTCTAATGCTACCCTGTCAGAGGGAAGACTTGAGTGTGTCTCAGTGCTACCTGGAAAAGATGGAAATGTATTCTTTTCATTCAAACTTTCCTTATCAGGATGAGGATGGTTTTTTCTGCAGTGGTATGCTGGGATAGAGTGATTATTGTCTAAAAGTTTTCTGTGTTTTTTAGTCTTTCTAGGTTGCCCTAATCCTAGTCCTTTGGCTAAATAAAGAAAGGAGGCTTTCTTAGCATTCTTTTTTCTGCTCTCATGGGAACTTAAGGATTGCCATCTTCTCCAGTATCCTTTCTGGATAGAAGAGGCAGAAAGAAAATCCAGAGAACTCACCAACTTGTTCTTCAAGTCTGGAGTTTACTGGCACATGTGTTTTCTCTCCAACTTTCTGAGTCTTCTTATGCTTGTTTGATGTATAATACCCAGGTTACCTAATGGTTGGAATAAGGAAAAATATCTCTGCTCCATCGTCCCAGAAGCAGAAATTCTCCCACTCGTTATCTTTCAAAGTTTGATTGAAATTCATATGGTTGTTGTTAGAAGATTAAAATAAACCGAATTAAATATTTATTATATTGACTCCTTGCCAATGATATTTATTGTGATAAATATCTCTATATCATTTCCTTCAGTGTTTGACACTAAAGGATGGCAAAATTTCACAGACCTATCTATTATTATTTCCAGCAAAAACTATTCATATCCCTTTGGTCAAAGGCAACAGTACTCACCGTGAGGAACAGTTGGTAAATCTAAGGGAGGCTCTGCGTTGACTCACAGACCCTGTGCCATCTTGAACTTAGAAGTAGAGGTAATTGTGGCTATTTTACTAAAAAGCCACAATTCTCAATTCTCTTCTTGACATATTAGCAGCATTTGACACAGTTATTTTCTCTTTTTTATTGGTTCTGTCTCATCTTCCCCATGACTAAATTTTGAAGTCAGGTTTATAAACCTCTACACTTGACCAAACATGTTCATACTTAAGTGATCTGGTTCACCCTCATAGTTTTAAATACAATCTATATGCTTATGGATTTTTATTTCCATTCAAGACCTCTTTTTTAAAAAATGCAGACTTTTATACTCTTGTGCCTATTCATAATCTTAGGTCACATGTATCATAGCCACCCCAAAGTTATTATGACCTAATCTAAAATCTTGGTTCCATCTCTCCTCAATCTGAATAGCTGGTAGTCTTCCCCATCTCACTAAATGAAATTCTAAGAATTGCTTTGGAAAAAAAATCATGGACTAAAGCTTGATCCTTTCCTTTCTCTTATATTCTAATGTTATCCATCAGTAAATTCTGTTGGCTATATAGATGATTATAGTCTGATCCATGGTTAGAATAGTAAACATATCCACATATCTACGTATGTTTACTACTACATATCTACATATGTTTACTACTCTAACCATGGATCAAACTATTCTCATCGTTCACATTAATTATTACAATTGTCATTTAATTGAGCTTCCTGCTTTTGTTATTTACCTCTTAGAGGTCTCTGTTTCCAAACAGCAGACATCTTAAAAATGAATGCATTACAATCACAGAATTGAAAAATGTATTTAAGATTAGATAATTTTCACTATTGGTTGGAACTAAATCTATCTCTTTGTTTTAGTGTGTGTAGTCGCTGAGTGTCATTTTAAAATAAATAATGTAGGTTACTATAATTGCTAAAATTACCCTGAGAAAATTATGTATTGGATTTTTTCATTAACATGAAGTGATAGTAAAATAGAATTACTCTGATTTTAAAAAAAGGAGGAGACAAAGGAAAATTTTGTTTTGATTTTAAAACAGGAGGAGATGAAGCAAAACATTTTTCAATAATTGTTATTTTTTATGTATGCCCTCTTTAAATAATCAGTTTAATTTTGGGAAGTTATGTTGCATAAATTGATACATATTAGGAATGTGATACATAGAATTTAAGCCCCTTAAGAGGATTAATTTTAAAAATGAGTCAAAAGTAATTTTTCTTTAGAGTAATAAACATTTCAGTTACGTCTACAACTCTTCTTCAAAATGTTTATGTTAAATTTGTCATATATTATAGACACTTTTCCTAAGGTTTCACATATTTTTACTACTCAGATAAATCAGGACACATATAAGTTTACTTTGTCCTTTTAACAAAGCCACAAAGTATAATGAGTGTTATGAATATATTTATTTAAAAATTTCTGTCTGCATGTTAAAGTCTTAAGCAAATTTTGAGTTAACAAATATCTTCCAAATCACTCAGACTCCTGCTAAGGAAGGATGTGTACAGTAGCAATTAGGACAGTTAATCAGTTGGATTTGTCATCTAAAGGGGAAAAATCATTAACAAGACACTGGGTGGCCAGTGACAGATGAAATACTTAAGACTCGCAAAATTGTCAGCTCTCTCATTTAAAAGGAAAAGGTTGAGTCTTTCTCAATTTAAATTTTGATGTATGTCACTTTGCCAAAAAGCTATACACTGAACCCCTGTCACGCAGAAAGCTTGAAAATTTGGGTAAAAGTTAAGCAAGCGAGTTGTCCTAGTTAAGTCACCAATCTCTTCTGCTTACTGTCTTATCAGGGCCTCATTAGACTTCAGCAAGCATTACAGGTTCCCACACACTAGAGGCAAGCCATTAAATACTTGCTGTTCATTTACAATTATCTGGGCACAGTGTCACGGAGTGGAAGGAGGGATCCTCTCCTCAAGGACTCTAGTGTCTAAAAGTGTCATTGGAAACTAACAACCACATGTTGAAAATGCCACAAAGTTAATAGTTCAATTCTACTAAATTCCTTACCTTCACAAAGTCAAGCATTTGCTTAAAAATAGCAGCTAATTATACTTATAATTTGAGTATCAACACTAATCTCACATAAAAAGTTACCAAAAATCACAGTTCAATTGACTTCAACTAGACAAGTGTCTGGAAGATTTTTAGTAAAAGTGTTATGTGTATTATCTATTAATGTTAACTTCGTTATCTATCAAGATGCTAGGCTCATCAACACCAAGTCATTGAATCAAATCCTCTTGTAAAAATCAGTTTTATTGAGGTATAATTGATATGCAATAAACTCAACACATTAAATTTATGATTATTTTTTGAATTTGGACACATATATACACTCATAAAACCATGAGTACAATATCCAGGTAATAAACATATCCATTACTTCTAGAAGATTACTGTGATCCTTTGGTTTTTGGTATTCAGTAAAATATTTAACATGAAATCTACTCTCCTAACAAATTTTTAAGAACATAGTTCAGTATTGCTAACTATGCTATATAGGCACTATGCTATACAGCAAATACCCAGAGCTAATGTATCTTGCATAACTGAAATTTTATACTAATTGAACAACTCTCCATTTCCTCCTTCCCCTGGTCCCTGGTAACCACCATTGTAGTCTATGCTTTGAGTTTGAGTTTTTCAGGTCCTCGTACAAGTGAAATATGCTGTATTTTCCTTTTTGTGACTGGCTTATTTCACTTAGCACAACATCTTCTGAGCTCATCCATGTTGTTAAAAATGGAAGGATTGACTTCCTTTTAAGGCTCAGTAGTATTTCATTGTAAATATATACCACCTTTTCTTTATTTATTAATCTGTCAATGGACATTTGTGTTGTATGCATAATTCTGCTACTGTGAAAAGTAATGGCAGGGCACATACCTTTTCATGATCCTGGTTTCAATTATTTTGGGCATATACCCCGAAGTAGGATTGTTGGATCATATGGAAGTTCTAAGTTTAAATTTTTGAGGAAATTCTGTGTTGTTCTTCCTAATGACTACACCATTTTATACCCCTCCCACCAACATTGTTAATATTTCTACACACCCTCCCCAACATTTATAATCTTTTGTGTTTTTGGTAATAGCCATCCTAATTAGTATGAGGTGATATATCACTGTGACTTTGATTTGCATTTCCCTGGTGATTAGTGACACGGAGTACCTTTTCATATACATCTTGACCATTTGTGTATCTTCTTTGGAGAAATGTCTTTTTAAGTGTTTTGCTAATTTTTAATCGTTTAATTTGTTTGTTTCACTATTGAGTTTTAAGAGTTTTTTAATGTATTTTCAGTGTTAACCTCTTATCAGATACGTGGTTTGCAAATATATTGTCCCATTGTGTATGTTGCTTTTTTATTCAGTGGATTTTTTCATTTGCTGAGCGGAAGACTTTTTCAGTTTGATATCATCCCACTTGGCTATTCTGCTTTTGTTGCTTGTACTTTTGGAGTCATACCCAAGAAATCATGACTAAGAGCAGTGTCATCAAGGTTTTCTTCTATATTTTCCTTTCGGAGTCTTAGAGTTTGAGGTTATACATTTAACTCTTTAATCCACTTTTACTTAGTTTTTTGTGTATAAAACTCTAATGTAAGTCACGTGCACATGAATATATAGTTTTCTAACACCATTTGTTGAAGAGAGTGTCTTTCCTCCATTTTGAATTCTTGGCACCCCCGTTGAAGACCAGCTGACTATGTGGGTTTATTTCTGGGCTTTTTATTTGGCTCCATTCATCTATATGTCTGTCTTTATGCCAGCACCATACTGTTTTTATTAGTTTATATTTATAATATACTTGAAATCAGGAAGTATGTTATTTTCAGCTTTGTTCTTTCTCAAGGTAGCTTTGGCTGTTCAGAGTCTTTTGTGGTTCCACATTCATATTATTTTTTTTTTTCTATTTCCCGAAAAAGAATGTAATTGGAATTTTTGTGGGTATAACATTAAATTTGTAGATCACTTTGGGTAGCATAGATATTTTATTAATAAGTCTTCAATCAATGAACATAGAATGTCTTCTCATTATTAATATAGTCTCAGTTACGGCTTTACTTCATATTTTATGATTTTCAATGTACTTTACTATTTTTTAATTCAATTTTTAATGTTTTCTATTGCATAAACAGGTGAATCATGTAGTTGATTGAGTTTAGTTTGGATACTCTGAGGCATACTAAGATTTTCCAAGCTTTCTAAAGTAGTTGTGGACTCTATTTTCAAAACATACTCTTTTCTTTATAGTTTTATTCATAATAAAATAATTTAAACACCACTAAGATCCATAGGATACAAATTAGCATCAAGATTCAATTCAAGTAATCATTGTGGTCCTCTCATCATGATTAAATTAATTACTATTATAAATACCTGAGCTGTGTTAATACATGTAAACACAAACACACACACACATTAACATGACTAATCTGATTTGCACAATTTACTTAAATGGTATGTAAAAATAAACAGCAATGCGTAAAAAATTGCCACCATTGCAGCTTTTTGAAGAATACTTTAAAATTAATTACTCAAGTGACAACACTTGAATCATTATGTACCAAATACTTGCAGAGAGCTTACTTGGCTTGACAAAAGATCTAAAGGGTCAGCAAAATTTTAGTCAAGTAAGTCATATTTGTTACGTAATCTATTAACTATATTAATGGTAGTTCACAGACTTGTAGACCTGGGGTATAGGTAATATATTCATCAAACTCACCCAGAATTCAAGTGTAGTGGAAGTAGTGGAAGCACTCACTTTGGAATGTAATTCTTTTTTGTATTTGTGTTTAGATAGGCATGGAAGTCAGTGAGGTAAGGGAATGATAGTTCTAAGGAAAAGTTCAGAGAGAAAGTGCACAAAGTGTCAAGATAACACCTATATGGTCCCAGTAACCTAGACTAAGAGCAAAAAGAAAGAGGAATTGAGTTCAGTGTTATGTTTTAGCTAAGATCTTAAGTGTTATGTTTTTAAGAATCTTAGAAAGAGATGAAAGTTAAAATGTCCAAATAAAAGAAATTTCAAAACTCCTTTCTCTAAACTCTTTGTAAAACATTAAAAGCCCTATATTGAAAGCACAAGGCACTCTTGCTTTGTGGCCTGTAACATGCTATGAAACTTGGGGTGATAGATATTTGACATAATATTGGATAATCTAAAGAGACAATGCCTTGGGCAACAAGGTAGAACACTCTACATTTTTATTCTATATATGTGTATATATATATATATGTATATATGTATGTTTGTATATGTATATATGTATATATATGTATGTACGTATATATATATGTATTTTTATTCTATATATGATTTCTTATAATGAAGATGAAATCTTTTACTACATGCTCTTTTTTGGGTGACTTTTTTTGCTTCTTTAGTATTTGTCCAGTTTTTCTATATGAGGTATGTAAAAGTAGATAGTTTATTCTCACTTATGTATGAATAATAGAATTTTAAGTGAAAATGGATTATTTTAAAAATAGTTATGTGTATATTTGTGTTTTTATTTATTAGAAAAAACACAGCTAACAAACAATGATGATTCAGAGAATTGAATGGTTAGGATAAGGTCAGAGCATGTGTATCTGTAAAAAGTAAGGTAAATTTAAAGAAAAACAGTAAGTATCAGAACAGTTGTACAAAGCAATTAAATTATGAGTTATGCTCAACTAGAAACATAATGTTAAGCTGTGATTAAGGTATGAGTTTATAGCAGAAGGATTGGAGTGTTAAGTGAAATGAATCAGTGAAAGATATCCTCTCAGAATAAGATAAGAGGTGAGCAGTTAAAGTCATCGGCAAGATTAACTTGTTGTTAATTTTGCTGCTGAACCTCCTCGTGTCACTTAAATCAATGTGATTATCACAACAAATCTAATGGTTCTACCAGTTATTGTTTTATTCAGTTTTTCTAGTTATTGTCCATGGATCAGAGAAAGAATTGCAATACCTCATTTTAGAAAAGAAAGGACACAAGGCAATGAAAATGAAAAATCTTGCCAAAATTGATCACCAAGCGGCTGAAAGGCATGCATTAAAATGTATTCTGATGATTTTATATCAAAGAGAGCTAAATATAAAACTTGGTCTCGAAGAATTGATCAGTTTAGATGCACTTAATCAGAATTTATTGTGAGTATATTGGTTCGAGTACCTAGAGTAATATTAACACTCTGAAAGTTAATATTGCCTGAAGCAATATTAGCACTCTGAAAATTAACTTTGTCTCAGGTACTTGAACCAATATGTTTGACTGTGTATTTGGCAATATATTTAAGGCTGATTAATAGAAGCCTGGACTTACCACTTGTTCTCAAAATCAGTAAGTTTGATATGTTGGAACTTCCATGCCATACTGTAGAAGAAGAGTTTCTAAAGTCTTGAAATACAGAAATATTTCAAGAAATACAGAATTCATTTACTGTGCACAACCTATTTGTGGTTATATAGTAATTGTAGCATTCAAGAGAACCCTTTTTGAGAAGATTCCTTTTTCCCAAGAAAAAGGAATTGTTGTTGTTAAAAATACATTGTTGAAGGGAGTACTAGCATCTCAGAAAGGCCCTGGGAGATGTTACCAGGAAATTAGGCTTCTGATTTCAATGGAAATATTGGATCCTGTAATAGTAATGTTTAACCTTCCAAGATAGAAGGGTTGTAATTATCATAATAAGCATGGGAGCAATTTGAAATGATGTTTTTGACCCACAGGGATCTGTTGTCCAAGCCAGTTGATCACAGGGTTCTATCCATAACAAATAGGTGTCCTACAGAACAATTGCTTGAACTATAAGATTAAAACAATTCTTTGTCCAGAGGTCAGAAACCTGAATATTGTCAATATCATAGGTATTCATGGATATTTACCTGGTTCATAGACTTAGGTCCCTTTACAGAGCTGTTGTCCCTTTACTGAGTGAGGATTTAGGTTCTTATGAAGAAGAAACTTCTACTTATAATTAGAAGAAACTTCTCATATTGCAATGTATTTTATACATTTTCTTCTAAATCTTTCCCAAGAAACTTACCGTCATATACTGGGATAAACGTGTTCTGAATCAGGGAGAATACCTCAATATTCCAGATGTTATTAGATACTGGTTCTAAATTGACACTAAATCACAGAGACCCACAGTTCTACCATTGTCCTTGGGTCAGATTTAGAGGGAGTGAGGCTATGTAGGTCTAGTGAAATGAAGTTATGGCCTAGTCTCTTCCATAGTTTGAATTAAAAATTATTATTGTTCCCCAGTTCCTAAATGTATAGTTTAAATAAAAATACTTGGTTATATTGTTTAAATCCACAGAGTGGTTTTCTGAGCCATAGAATGAAGACTATTTTGACAGGAAGGGCCAAGTGGGTGTGTATGGACATGTCATTCCCAGCCAAAAAGGAATTCAAGAGCAGAGATTAATTCTACATAGAAATTATACTTCCCACCAGAGACTACAGTGATGCAGAGAAAATGGTTCATATCATATCCCTGTTTAACTCATCTACTTGACTGGTACAAAAATCAAATAGGTCTTAGAGGTTACTGTGGGTTATTGTAAAATTTAACTGGCTTTTATGCCTATGTGGTCTCTTTACTAAAGAAAATAAGCCACATCCCCTGGTACTACCTAGGACACAGAAGTTGACTCTCTCTCTCTCTGTCTCTGTCTCTGTCTCTCTCTCTCTCTCTCTCTGTGTATATATATATTTTTTTCTGAGAAGATAGGAAAGAGTGTATATCTCTCTTCCACATGAAGATGTACACTTTGATGAGTATTTCAAGAGTACATCTTCAATGTCTTGTTTTATGGCTATAAATTGCTCTCTGACATATAATCATCTTGAGTGTCCTTAGAAATTGTAAGTCCCACAGAACATTACAGCAGATCTATTACATTAATGGTACATTTGCTCATTGGATCTGAAGACCAAGAAGGAACAAGTACCCTGGATGTTTCAAGAAGACATAGCTGTGCCAGAGCGTAGGAGATTAAACCCTAGGAAATGGAAAGCTGTCCCATTCTGAAGTTTCCAATAGTCCAGTTATCTAAGATACACGGGATACACCCTCCAATGTCAGAAACATTAGCTGTCCCTTCCATGGCCTGCCATGAAGAAAGAGGCAATATGTTTGGTGTAACTATTTGGATATTGAAGACAATATATAACAGATTGAGTGAGCTGTTTTTACACATTTATTGGATCACTTATGAGGCTACAAGTTTGGCACGAAATCCAGATCAAGAGACGACTTAACAAAAAGTCCATGCTCTACTGCAAGCTGCCTTGACATCTGGACCTATTGTTGAGCATCCAGCAGTATTTGAAGTGTCTATGGCAGATAGTGCAGGCATGTGTAGCCCCTGGGTAGAATCACAGTGGAGATCCCTAAGATACTGATGCAAAACTGATGATCTCTCTGGCCTGTCACTATTATCTATTGGAAAAAATGCTCCTAGACCACTACTGCACTCCTAATCACAAGACATCAAGTCACCTGGCAACCTCAGCTGCTCATGTAATATTTTTTGATCCATAAAATAATAAGGTTATTTGCATGCAGCAGTATGTCATTATTAATGGAAATCATATGTGCAAGACCAGGCCTCAGTAGGTTTGGAAGACACAAGTAAATTGCATAACACATGGAGCTCACCCACTGCACCCCTTCGAGTGCTTCACTGTCACTTCCAACCCTCAGTTATGGAAACTTAATAAGGTTTCTAATAATAGAAGAGGATCCAATTAACCAGTTTGGACAAGAAGAATACAGAGAGGCCTGATTTAATAATGGGTCAGCATTTTGTGTGGCTGTCAACAACTATAAGTAGTCAGCTGCTGCATTATAGATCTACACAGGGATAGTCCTGATGGATGGAAAGAAAATCTTCCTATTTGACAGAAATCTGAGCAGTACATTTTACAGTTTCTCTATTTGGAAAGGTCTAATTCTACCCTAACTTCTGAGCAATGCCTGATGGGTCAACTAGCAAGTCAAGGACTTAGAAAGGACAAGATTGGAATATTGCTGCTAGGAAAGTCTGGGATGTGGGGTTGGTAGTGGTGATGTGTTATGTGAATTGGCCTATTTAAAAAAGCACAAAGTGCAAAGATGCTTGTGTCCTAAAGACCATCCACTACAGAGGAGGATCTCAGTAATGAACTAGACATGAAGACCTGTTCTGTGGCTTTCTCTACAGTTGTTTTCAGATTCCTGGCTCTTGCTGAATGGGCCTATGTACCAAGTGGCTACGTAGGCAAGAATAAAAACTATGCATGAGCTCAACAACATGGACTTTGCCTCACCAAAGCTGAGCTGCTTTGTGCCCAAATGCTGAAAGGAAAGGTGAATGCTGAGTCAATATGATACCATATTTTCCAGTGGACTAACCAGCAATGCAATTTCAGATTGATTACACTGAAAGTCTTCCTTTATGAAGCGAGCAGAGGTTTGTTTCCACAGAAATAGAAAGTTTTTCTGGATACAGTCTAACCATTCCTTCCTATGACACTTCTGCCAGTGCCACTATTGATACACATAAGGAATACCTTATTCCTTTGTACTTAGCCAATACAACACTGCCTCTTATCAAGGAATTCATTTTAACACTAACAAAGGGTGCTAAGAATCATGCCACAGAATTTGCTGATTTTATGTGTGCTCATCCCTTAAAATCAGCTGGTCTGATAGAATGTTGGAAATGGCCAACTGATGCCTCAATTGCAGTGCCATCTGAGAGAGGGAGAAAAAAAAAACCCAGAAAAGTTAATGTCCTTTTGTATACACTGTGGGCATATATTGTGCTGTTCCCCATGGTTGTTATATCAGTGGGTGGAATGAGGAGTGCCCTTTCACTCTAATACCTAACAGTTCCTTCAGATGGTTTTTCTTCCTATCTACACAAACTTGAGGTCAGTTGGATTGGCAGACACCCAAGACAGACACATCTGTGTCAAGGTCATTCCATTAAACTGGAAGATAAGGCTACCAACTTGTCATTTTGGACTTCCCTTTCACTGAACTCACAAGCAAATGAAAGGATCAACTTGTAAACTGTGGTGTTTTATCAAAATTACCAAGAGAAAATTGGGTTACTCCTAGGCAAAGTAGTGAGGGACTAGGCTTAGACCTGGATGCTTCCTAAGGAATTTCCTGGTAATTCTATATTGTATTAGGTTGGTGCAAAACTAATTGTAGTTTTTGACATTAAAAGTAGTAGTAAAAACCACAGTTACCTTTTGCACTGACCTAATATAATCATGTCAGTGAGAAACTAGAACAATAAGGTCAGAATCAACATGAGCATGGATTCTATAAGAATACAATTTTGGTTTGCCCCAAAAAGTATAAAATATCTCAACATACTAAGGGGCTAGGTAAGGTAAAGAGAATGTGGAATTAGATAAAGGAAGAAGAGATCTATGATCATTGATTTTGATTAATATTACTAATGATATTACTCAGAATATTGGTAACTTATAATCAATACTAATTATAATATTAATAACTTATAATTAACATTATTTATCATTTGATATAAGACAAAACTACTATAGTCCCTATCTCTTGTGATTAGCCAGAGAGTTAGGAACTACTGCAGTTATGTCTTATATCAAATGATTCATTTTTTTTTTTCATTTTAAAACCTTATATAGCCAATGTTGTTATTTTGGACCTATGGAGAGTATGATTGAGTTTACACCATTCTGTGATGACTTGGTGAGAGGTGGGCTTTGCGCTTTCCTTTCTGTTGGTCAAGAATGGACGCTGAGTTGAAAATGTGTGGAGAATATTATTTAATCTCCATTTATAACTTCTCCCTTCCCCACAGAACAATTTCCTTTTATTCTCTGGCTTTTGTTCTGTGTTCTAAGGAGTAGGCTGTGGACAGCTTTGCCTGGAGGTTCTTACCTTTCAGCTTTAGATTGAATTTGTGATAGTCAATAGAGAAAAGTACCAGTAGGTTGATGGGTGAGTGAACAGAGTGGTCAGGATATTTCTTCACCAAACTCCTCCCCACTTCTGGCAGTGAGTGGCCACGGAAGCCACAGTTCTGGCAGTGGTTGCCTCCTCTCTCACCTGTAAGTTCTGTTGAACATCTCTGCCATTGCACATCTCTCCCCTTGATGCTCTTCCCTTTGCCATAGAGGCTTGGTGGTAGTGGCTTCCTGCCATTTAGAGTCCCTGGGTTCTGCAACATCTTTGATTGGTTACTTTAAACTCTCACACTCTCCATTAAATTATCTTAATTGCAATTGAGTGTATCTTCTATTTCCTGCTGAAATCCAATCTGATATTCTAATCTATAACAGGAGAATCCTTATCAATAGCATAAATTAGATCAGCATTCTTTAAACATTTTTTTTCCTTGGAAATATTTATTCTATTTATTTCTAGAGACTTGTTTATAAAAAGGCTCCAGAATCAATGGATGGAGGTGTAGGGATGATGTCCCGATGTGTGCTTCTGGAAAAACACACATTTACCTACCCTTCCCCAATCTCCTGGGAAAACTCTTGGAGCCTACACAAAGAAAAATGCTAAATGTTCTGATTTGTATGCTGTTTTTAGGTTATGTAAAAATGGTTTTCATAGTAATACTGTAAATATGGTAATATAGTAATATTGACTATTCTAATAATTATTGTTTCAGACTACATGAGAATATTTAATTTAGCTGCTATTCTAATAAGGAGGTTGCCTCGGTTATCGTTCCCAGTTCCCCTGTGCCTCGATGCCCTTACCATTCATGGGGAAATTAGTAGATCCTAATGCATAAACTTATTGTGAGGATTACATGCTATGATGCATGCAAAACATTCAGGACACTGTTTGGCTCCCAGTCAGTGATCATTCCACAGGAGCTATTGTTATTCTACACATTCACCTCCCCTATATAGTCATAGATACAGATCTTTTTACTTTATTCATCATCCAGGCCAATCCTTAAACACCAAGGAAACTCCTTGGCATGAACTTAGAGGGCAATAACAGCGACGAGTTCCCTAACCGACTTTTCAGCTAATCTCTCATGTAGTGCTCTCCTATTTTTTCCAGTAAAAGTACCTAATTATGAATCTTAAATCACTGGAGAGTTTCTGTTGAAACATAACAAGTGTATTGTCACAAAGTCTAGTTTATGATTTTACCATCTTTTTCTTTAACTTCCTTCAATTCTTTCTCATTAGGCCCCCTCATATGATTAAGTTTAATTTTCTTCCCCATTTACCTCATGAGATACATCATCCTGAGGCACATCATCATTGAAGTTAAACCTTGCAGCAACACACTTAATTAAAATTTTAGTAACGAATGGTACTATATTACTATAAAAGAGAAACTATTTCAAACATTGCATTTTACCGACATTCATAATATGTGTTCATTTTATATTTCTTCTTTTTTTTTTTTTCCTTTGAGACGGAGTCTCGCTCTGTTGCCCAGGCTGGAGCCAGGCTGGAGTGCGGTGGCGCGATCTCAGCTCACTACAAGCTTCGCCTCCCGGGTTCACGCCATTCTCCTGCCTCAGCATCCCAAGTATCTGGGACTACAGGAGCCTGCCACCATGCCCGGCTAATTTTTTGTATTTTTTTTTTTTTTTTTTTTTTTTTTTTTTAGTAAAGACGGGGTTTCACCGTGTTAGCCAGGATGGTCTCGACCTCCTTACCTCGTGATCCGCCCGCCTCGACCTCCCAAAGTGCCGGGATTACAGGCGTGAGCCACCGTGCCCGGCCTATATTTCTTCTTTAAAAGCAACATTTTAACCATTTGACCCAACATTCTTATTACTGGATATATAGCTAGAGGAATATGAATCATTCTAGCATAAAGACATATGCACGTGAATGTTCATTGCAGCACTGTTCACAATACCAAAGACATGAAATCAACCTAGATGCCTATGAATGATAGATGGGATAAAGAAAGTGTGGTATATAAACACCATGGAATATTCTGCAGTCATGAAAAAGAACGAGATCATGTCTTTTGTGGGAACATGGTTGGAGATGGAGGCTATTATCCTTAGTAAACTAACGCAGGAACAGAAAACTAGATACTACGTGTTCTTACTGATAAGTGAGAGCTAAATGATGAGAACTCATGAATATGAATGAAACAACAGACACTGGGTTCTACTGGAGGGTGGAGATTGGGAAGAGAAGGATCAGGAAAAATAACTCTTGTGTTCTAGGCTTAATACGTAGGTGATGAAATAATCTGTACAACCACGAATTTACATATATAAAAACCTTCATATGTACCCCCCAAACCTAAAATAAAAGTTAAAAAAGCAGAAGTTTAGCAGAGAAGTCCATTACTGCAAAGGACAAATGAATTATAGTTTGGTATTATGTATCACTGAATTTGAATTTTAGGACCTATTCACAAACTGAAGAGTTCTGAGATGAGAAATTTATTTGAAACAACAAGGAATCTATGCCAAATAACCACAGGAAAGTTGAATGCTTTGAAAGACTTTGATAAAGTATGTTAATTAAAACCAGCACTTGAGCCTCCTCGGCAGTTTGGCGGTTGACAAAAGCACTTCAGAACAGTTTGAAGAAATTGTATGTTTCATGTTAGGGAGCGATTGAAAAGTCAGCAATACCTCAATCATTTGAGATAGAAATGGTACATTCTAAATTGGCCTCTAGAAGAGAAGATAAAATAATCTAAAGTATAGGCATTATAATGCCCTATTTTCAGGCAGCCTGACAAAGTCTAGCTTATACTGATATAGTTATAAAGCAGGCAAAAATCAAAGGTAGATTTTTTTCTAGATTTTCTTTCCCTTACTTGGCTTAGGATAGAAGGATAGAAAAATGACTTCCAAACCGTAATAAAATTAAACAGAAATTATTACTAAGTTACAGCAAAGAAAAAAAATAACGCCGACGTTACCCAGCATTGTTGGAAATTACCATTAAGGAGATTGCTTAACTGAAGTTTAACTCAATGGTGGAATAAACTGTCAAATATATAGTGGGTTTCTTTTCATATTTTACATATCCTGCATATCATTGCTAATATGAAGTTAATTTGAAGTAACTTCACTTTGCAAGTAAAGCTATAGATGTCATATTCTCACCTTTCGGGATGTCACAATAGACCAAGGTATTCCAGCACTAGTTGGTTGTATTTTATGATAACATTGGATCACCTAAGCCTGGAATACTCAATAACCTTCAGTTTCCTTAATTTTTAATTGGTAATGCTGAGGAAAAGTATTGGACCAGGAAGTTGAAACTCGATAGAGAAAATTGGTTGAACTTGAATCCTCTATAAGAAACAGATTTAATAGGTGGGAGTTCGATGCATCAAATGAGCTGTTTGTATTTTGGTCTCATTCACTAAAAATATAGTAGGATGGTAAGGGATTTTTTTTTTCCTGTCTTCTTGGAGTTAATTTCATTTTTGAAAGATTTTCACTGGATATAGAAATACTGTATAGAAACACACTCTAAAGGTATTATTCATTTATCTTCTGGCTTCCATTAATTTTTTTACAGCACTAAGCTATTTGTTGTATTGTTATACTCTGAAGGTAATCTGAAAGTTGCTTTGACTTTTGAATATGTGTTTCTTTGTCTTTGGTATTTGGCAGTTTTTGTATGATGCGTGGTTTTCTTTGATTACATTACTTGGGTTTCTTGAATATTCCAAGTGGTGCTTTAAATCAGCTTTGAAAAACTCTTGGCCTTTATCATTTTATGAATTGTCGTGCCCCTTTAAGTCTCTTCTCTACTTCTATGATTGTTCTTGCACATAAGTAGGATTTTCTACCACTTTTTATTCTTGGTATTCTTCAGTACTTACATTTTATTGTGACTTAAACATTGAAATTCTTTTCAGCAAAGTCTAACCTGTGAAACTATTGATATATTTATTTCTCTTACTGTATTTTATGTGTAGATTTTTCTTTTTAATTAATATATGTATAAATATGGGTATAGATATATAAACTATATATTCCAGTTGTCTGCTGAAATATGTAGCTTGTCTTCCAATATGTCAAACATATTGGTCAAAGCTAGATTGAAAATTAAAGTTTATATCATATAACTTCAATGCATTTGTTTCTAATTTTGATATTTATTGTTTTAATCTGCTCAAATCTCTTGCTATGCTTATGTTCTGTTGAATATAGGTATGAAATATTCTATATATAATTTGAGGCTGTGAATATTGTTGTGCTCCAGAGAGGGTTTACTTTTGCTTCTACTAGTATTTTGCATATACGCAAATAATCTTAATCAGCTCTGGGGTTGAATTAATTCATAGCTATTTCCGGTCTTCATGAAGATTGGTTTATTTTTAG
Organism: Homo sapiens; assembly: GCF_000001405.40. NCBI lineage: Eukaryota > Metazoa > Chordata > Mammalia > Primates > Hominidae > Homo > Homo sapiens. The sequence continues at coordinate 13,908,641 of NC_000008.11, forward strand.
TTACCCTTTATTCCTACGATATAGTCCACTACTTCACTGGTACTTAATGATATCCCAGAGTTTTTACTGAAGTCCTTTCTCTTTGGAACGCTTTGAAGTACAAGTTTTGTCCCTCCAGCCTCATGACATAGTTGAAATTTCTCATCAGCTTCTCAACTTTTCAATCAACTGTTGAGTTTACCACTCTGGAATTTCTTGTCCCGGACTGTCTTTGCCCTTCACCAAATCCTCATTGCTATAGAAGTTCTTTCTTGTCTTCAAAAACATGCTTCATATGTTATCCAGTTGTACACTTTTAATAAGTGTGTTGTTAATTGCAGTTTGGTTGTTGTAAGCAGAAGTCCATTAAATATCTTGGATTTTTTTCTTATAGAAAATGAGTAAAAACCTCTGTTGTATAAAAGTAAGGCTTTTGTTTCCAGAACCCAGTATATTTAAAGGAAGACTAGAGGATCTGATTTAAGTCCTTCAAAACTATTTATTTTCACATTGCTCTGAAAATATTGACCAAATATTGACAAAAAATTGACAAAATTTGACTAGATCTTACCAAAACCCCAAGTCTGTATATAAGACTATTCCAAAGTGTTATTTCTTGGCATCAGTGATCTTCCAAGGGTGAAATGGGTTGATTTAAAATCACTCCCAATCTTCTTGGGGAGCTCCTGACTACCCATCATTTTCAAATTCAACAAAATAGATCTTATTTCTCCACCATCACAAATATATGCATTTGTTTCAATCCAGAAACACTGATTAAGCAGTATAGATAACATCATCTCATGACTCTTTGCTTATAAGTTATTAGTGAATAAAATATAGTTTGGAGGGTAATCAGACAGCAAGAGGTTTTATGTTAAATTTTGTTAGGTGAGAGCTAAATTTGGTGTTGACTGAGCAGACCTTTTTTTTTTGCAGTAATAATAGGCTATTCACTTTTTTCTTTTTCCTGTATCATAAAAAGCGCCACACATTTTAGTTATTTCATGAGTGTTTTTTTTTTTTTTTTTTTTTGCATATTGGACTGGCATTTGGTGTACCGTAAAATATAAACCATTTTAACCATCTCATGGCATTTCTGGATAAGCCTTTTTAACAAAGGGCTGCCTCCAATCTTCAGAGTGTTGAAAGCTACAATCTCTAGTGTTCTTGTTTCTGAATTTTGTCATCTTTGTCCTGTGCCTTGAGATTTTACAGCGCCTCCCATGAAAGCAGGTAGAATATTCATCCCTTTCCTCCACTGATTGCAGGCTGCATGGTCAGAGATGACCTTTTGACAGCTCTGAGCCAAGACTACAAGAGGTATGGGAAGATTTTGTCATTTTCTTTTTGTTTCTGCATTCTGCTGTGAGAGGTTAGTCTTTATGTTGGTTATTACCTTATTTTGGAATAATATTTTGAAATAATATTTCCTAATCATCTTGATTAAGTAACATCATCTAATTAAGTAACATCTAAAACTGGAAACAAAAATAGCAGGATAAGGATGTTAGTTGTATTTGTGGACCTAAATGTGTAAGAAGCAGAGGAATCAGAATTGAAAAGAGTGGGATAGGGGAGATCAGAATATGCCATCTCTAACTATTCAGGATTGTTGAGCTGAAGGTAATTTAGAAGAAGCAAATTCAGAAAAGCTCCCTGACTGTCCTCTATTTGCCTAAAAGCAAGACATAGATTTATAAACACAAAAGGTATCCTGCCTACCCTTCTACCAAGAAGAACAGCAATTAACCACTGAATACAGCATTGGAACTTTACTGGCCTAGAGATGGTACCAGAGAATCTACATTAACAAAGTTACTAACTAGCCTTTATCTGTCATTTGTTTGCCTTTCCAAAATTTGTCACCCCGTACATCCCTAAAAATGTTCTGTTCCCTGTTGACATTAAGCTAAAATTCAAAGCCGCTTTATTTGAAAACTACTCAATCCCTGGGTATTTCCCATGTATGTTATGTATATAATATATATGTTAATAAACTTCTCCTTGTTTTTCCTTTGTTAACCTGTCTTTTGTCATAAGGATCTATTCCAACTAAGAACCTATGAGGATTGAAGAAAAATAATTTTTTTTCCTGCTGGTGCTTGGGGCTACTCTTTTCCATATTCCTCACAGAGCTATTTGACCTTTCATACCACGCAAACCTATTATTTTGATTAAGATAATAATTTAAAAAGGAATAACAAAGTGTGTTTTTATTTTTATTATACTTTAAGTTCTGGGAAACGTGTGCAGAAAGTGCAGGTTTATTACATAGATATACACGTGCCATGGTGGTTTGCTGCACCCATCAACTCGTCATCTACATTAGGTATTTCTCATAATGCTATCCCTCCCCTAGTCCCCCAACTGCTGACAGGGCCCAGTATGTGATGTTCCCCTCCCCGTGTCCACGTGCTCCCATTGTTCAACTCCTACTTATGAGTGAGAACATACAGTGTTTGGTTTTCTGTTCTTGGGTTACAAAGTGTATTTTTTTTTGGAGAGAAATGTATGAGGGCACTAAATATATAAAATGGTTACAGTGTATGCCCCTTCCTCATAAAACATTCATCTTCTTTTCTCCTCTGAGAAAGCTCCAGAAGTTACAGTAGTCTGTATAAATCATAGGATAAAATACAACCAATATGCCTGTGTATATTGAGTTTTACTTGATGTTTGAATCATAGAGTTTGAAGGAGAAAAAATAAATTCTTCCACAGAAAAATTACTTCCTACAAAAATAATACAGAGATCCCTCATAGACTGATTGCATTTTCAGTTTTTTTCAGTGAAAAAATTTGAGCAATAAAAGAATTTCATAAGAACAGCAGTTGATAATCTATCACAAAACTGATAACTCAGTTATTCTAAAAATTTCTCAAATTTGACAACATTAATCTTCCAGAAAGTGTATGTATATGTGTGTGTATATATATATGTGTATATATATATATGTATTTTTTATTCTTTAGAAGCTTATGTTAAATAAAAATGTAATTTAAACTTTTGTTTGCTTTTTATCTCTTCGAGTTTAAAGAGTTAAGTTTTGGTACAAAAGTATCCTTCTCCTAAAAGTGTCAAGCCTTCATTCAGAAACATGGGAAAATCACTCTCTCAGGCAATCCAATGGATAATCAGCTCAATGCTTCTTACGCGTTCTATAGGAAATACACCAATAGGTTTATCTTTATCACCAAAATAAAACTTGAAGTAGAATGTTATCAAAGAGAATGACAATTCCAGTCGCCCAGTGTATCAATAAGAATCCTCTTATAATTTATAACCTTTAGTAAATAATTTAGCCACACACCTTAGGGATTCTACATACGTGTAGTGCAAATTCTAAAATATTCAAAATATTTTTAACTTTGTCAAAGATGAAAACAACAAACATGTTTAAATGTATTACATGTAATATTTAAATAGCATGGCGATTACTAGTACATTGCATTGGGTTGATAAATCAACTACTTTTTTATAGAACTCAGAATAAAGGATTGAGATTTGAAGGCAATCGTTTAAGACTGTTGTCATTTTCAACAGCTTATCCATGAATCCAAACTTTTTCTGCACTTTGAAACAACAAAAGTAATTTCTAAATACATGAAAACGTTATTTGACTACAAATGTAATTCTTTACAAAATATTCAAATACTGTATGTGTTAAATTTATAAAAACAATACTCGTTGTTTATTTAATTTACAGAGAATCTGTGTATTTGTCTATAGAATTTGCCTTCATCTGAAGAGTTCTGTTACCTTGCCAGTACTTCTTTCCCTGGGAACATCACTAATAAATAAAGCAGCCTTGTGTTACTGACTTCATTTAGAGATGTCAAAGGGAGATTTCAAGAGGTGTTTTTTTTTTTTTTTTTTTTTTTTTAGTTTTGAAAGTGAATGCCTATGAAATGGACATAGATTTTGTAATTCAAGTCATTAACTTTCTAGTAAACTATTATAATTAAAGATAATACATGTAATTTTAGAAGTAATGTAAACTGTCCATCTCATCCCAAGCCTCATTAAACAAGATGACAAGCAAGATAGTGGGTCACGTTCTAACTACATATTCATTAGTTATGATAAGAAATACACTATGACTATCTGGGAGTAATCATAAATTTGTAATTTCTAGGAAGAAAGTACTAAGTATTTGAAATAAGATCAAGAGCTGTTTAATTTTTGTTAAAGGGAAATAAAAAGGGAAAAAAATAAAGTCAATAATTTTGATATATTTACTAATAAAAATATATTTGAACCCTACACAGTAAAATTACAACTAACACATTGCACTGTAACATCTATTAAAATGGCCAGAACCTATAATATTTGCAATCAGATGCTGATGACGATGTGAAACAACAGGAATTCTCATTCATTGCTGGTGGGAATGCAAAATGGTACAGCCACTTTGGATGTCAATTTGATACTTTTTTTTTTCTTTGGGGACGGAGTCTCGGTCTGTCGCCCAGGCTGGAGTGTAGTGGTGTGATCTCGGCTCACTGCAAGCTCCACCTCCTGGGTTCACGCCATTCTCCTGCCTCAGTCCCCCTAGTAGCTGGGACTACAGGCGCCCGCCACCATGCCTGGGTAATTTTTTGTATTTTCAGTAGAGACGGGGTTTCACCGTATTAGCCAGGATGGTCTCAATCTCCTGACCTTGTGATCTGCACGCCTCCGCCTCCCAAAGTGCTGGGATTACGGGCATGAGCCACCGTGCCCGGTGGATACTTATTTTTTTTTTAAAAAAAAAAACAAAGGTAAACATGCTTTTACCATGCAGTCCTGCAATTGTATCCCTTGGCATTTACCGAAAGAAGTTGAAATAAATCCAAACAAACACCTGCACACAAATGCTTGTAGTAGTAGCTTTATTCATAATTGCCAAAACTGGGAAGCAACCAGGTTGTCCATCATTAGATGAATGGTTGAATAAATGAGAGTTAGTATATTCAGACAACAGAATATTTTTCAGAGCTAAAAAGAAATGCATTTATCAAGTGATGAAAAGACACTAAGGAAATTTAAATGCATATTACTAAGTAGAAGAAGCCAGTCTGAAACGGCTACACACTATGTAATTCCAACAATAGGACATTTGGTCTTAAAGTCTCTGAATACTCTTAAATCATGCCAAATAATAACTTTATCATTCTCTGCAGAGTTAATACTATGCCGTACATTTACTACACTTCAGATTCATAGAGTTGAAAAAGCTTTATAAATGTAAATACTAAGGCAGGAGTTAGGCACAAGTGTATACAAATGTAACCTATTTTTTTCTGAGAGACCCTGGTTGATACTGGGTCTGATGAACACTCACATTAGAGAGAAATATAGTTTATTATATAGTATGAAGCTAAGAGACAAGCTGATAAAGTGATTTAAAGTTAGAGTAGATAAGACTTGAGTATAAAAAAAGATACTCAAGAATCTGTGGCTGAATATTTAAAGCCAGAGAGTTTACTATCATGGGAGGTCTTAGAGGTTATCCAAGTCACCACCTGTGTTTTAAGGGTGACGAAGAAGCATGCCTGGAAAAATTAAATGACCCACACATCAGATAAAAGAATATAAGTAGAAGATTTTTAACATCATGTTCAGTATACTTCTCAAACATCTGAGGTATGAAAGAACCCTGACCTATGAAAGTATACAATCTTGACTTTTAACACCCTGATTTATATACCTACCAGAAATATGAGCTTCAGAGGAAAGTATCTAACAGGAGAGCCTAATTGGAAGAATCAGTCTTGACTGTATTTCCAAAGTGCATATGACATTTTTCAATGGAGACAAAGCTATTTCCAGTTTGGAGTCTCATGTTTCAACTACCAACATTTCTTCCATAATCAGGAGGGAGCCGGGCGTGGTGGGCCTCCCTCCCAGCAACTTGGGAGGCTGAGGCAGGTACATCACCTGAGGTCAGGAGTTCGAGACCAGCCTGGCCAACATGGTGAAACCCTATCTCTACTAAAAATACAAAAATTAGCCATGTGTGGTGGCGTGTTCCTGTAGCCCTAGCTACTCGGGAGACTGAGGCAGGAAAATCACTTGAATCTGGGAGGCGGAGGTTGCTGTGAGCTGAGATTAGGCCACTGCACTGCAGCCTGGGCGACAGAGTGAGACTCTGCCTCAAAATAACAACAACAACAACAACAACAACAAAATAATAATAATAATCAGGAGGGAGTGAAACCACAGAATTTACAAAAGTGGTTTTCATAACTTATACCTAAAATCTCCACTTTACACAAAACAGTGAAGCTACTTGAAGACAAGATAGATGCCCGCCTTCCGCCTCAGCCTCCACTGAGAGCATTCTGTGCTAGAGCTACAGTGTCTCTTTCATCTCAAGCTTATAAATGTCTTTCTATACAAGATTTTTTAGAGAGATGGAGGGAAAATGTTGCAAATGACCACTCATTTTAACTACCTTTGTTACTGTGGCTATTCTTGGAAAATGAAAATTACCAATTGCTTCTTTGGTGAGGAATCGTTCAGCCTATAATTAGTTGAGATACAGAAAACTTATGAATGGCAGAGTCTTTAGTGATAGTTGTAAGAATGCTTTAAAAAAAAGTATGTGCTTGATAATTTCTCCACTTTTTTTAACTTTTAATATATGAATTAGCTTTCAGACTAAAGTTTGTGGCTTTGAAACTTGATGACCTTAGGCAAATAACAAGTATGTACATTTGTTTCCCAGTCTTAAAATCAGCTATCAATCTGACCTTAAACTTTAATCATTCAGTCTTAAAAACATTTTCATCAGCATTGAAGGCCTTGATTATATTGGGAGGCAATTTGATGTGGTAGGTACCAGCCAGCCTCTGGAATCAGAATGTCTGATTTCAAAGCCTTGCGTATTGGTTAATTGGGGGCAATTACTCAGTAGTTTTATTAACAACTTGTAAATATTCTTTTGATTCTTGGAAACACCTTTATATGGGAGACAAAATAAATATATTGCTTCCAGTAACAAAAGTACATCCCCATGGAATGACATATTTTACAGAGTTCATCCTATACCTTTTTGTTGGTTTGTTTTTTGTTAACAGTTGTTTAATACATTTAGTGAGCCAGGTATTGTGTGAGTCACTGAGAAACACAAAAAGAAATGAGAATGGATGGCAAGCCTCAGAGCTCAGTGAAGTGGTTTTAAAATTCTATGAAAATAACTCTGTGAGGCCAGGTGTGGTGACCCATGCCTGTAATCCCAGCATTTTTGGGAGGCTGAGGTGGGTGGATCACCTGAGGTCAGGAATTCGAGACCAGTCCCACCAACATGGTGAAACCCTGTCTCTACTAAAAATAAAAAATTAGCCGGGTGTGATGGTGGACACCTGTAATCCCAGCTACTCAGGAGGCTGAGGCAGGAGAATCACTTGAAAATGGGAGGCGGAGGTTGCAGTGAGCTGAGATCACACCATTATACTCCAGCCTGGGCAATGGAGCAAGACTGCATCTCAAAAAAAAAAAAGAAAAAAAAAAGAGTAACTCTATGATAGAGAAGTATTGGTATCTAGGTGATCTAATGACTCATTTCCAGAGTGATATAGTTTGGATCTATGTTCCCACCCAAATCTCATGTCAAATTGTAATCCCCAATGTTAGAGGTGAGACAGGGTAGGAGATGATTGGATCATGGGGGCAGATTTCCCCCTCGGTGCTACCGTTGTGATAGTGAGTGAATGTTCACAAAATATGATTGTTTAAAAGTGTGTAGCACCTACGCCCCTCTCTCTTCCTCCTGCTCCTGCCATGTGTGGTGTGCCTGCTTCCCATTCCCCTTCCGTTATGATTGTAAGTTTCCTGAGGTCTCCCCAGAAGTTGTAGCCACCATGCTTTCCGTACAGCTTGCAGAACCGTGAGGCAATTAAACTTCTTTTCTTTATAAATTACCCAGCTTCAGGTATTTCTTTATAGCGGTGCGAGAATGGACTAATACACAGTGTACAACATCAAACTTTCCTAGGGTTATATGAAAATGCTTTTATCTTACTTTCTGTACTTAAAGCTGATTTCACTTCAGTTGTCAATCATAATATTAAAGAGGGCACTTTGCTTATCAAGACTGAAAATCATATTACGCTTCAATAAATAACTGTCCATCACAGCTATCTTGCTTCTATCTGATTAAATTCTATTATCTGAGGATCAGATAATTCTAATATTCTGTTCTAAGAGTCGGATATTTTATTTTGCAGCATGACTGAAAATAAAATCCTTTAAGCAACATTTCAAAAAGCACATACTTGTGCAGAGTAATTTCTGACTATGGACAATAGATTTAGAAAGTTAAAATTTTAATGACGTGAATGAAAATCATAAGCTCACAATTTTGAATTTTATTTTCTCTAAAACAAAATAATAGCTTGTAAGACAAAACATTTTGCAGTTACTTATGTTTAATTTACTATTTGTAAACACAATCTTGGTGATCTTAATGTGTTTAATATGGGAATATATATTCCTTAGGTAAATTTTTTTTTCTGCTTTACTCTGGAGAACACTAGAATTTTTTAAAAGCATATATATCCAAATATATTTTTAAGTAGAAATTTTTTAGAGAAGTTTTAGATTCAGAAGAAAATTGAAAAGAAAGTACAAAGATTTCTCATAAATCCCTTCCTCCCACCCCACCATTAACATCCTGAATCAGAGTGATGCATTTGTTGTCATTGATGAACATGCGTTGACATTTCATCACCACCCAAAGTCAACAGTTCATACTATGGTTTTCACTCCCTGGTGCTGTGCATTCTACAGGTCTCAACATATGATGGCACATGTGCACCAGTGTAGCATTATATAGAATGAATTCATTTCCTGCAAACTTCTTTGTGTTCAGCCTTTTTGTTTCTCCCTCTATCCTGCTGCCTTAATCTGCCAACAACCATGTGTTATTCATTGTCTCCATCATTCTGCATTTTCCAGAATGTCACATAGTTGGAATCACACAATATACAGCCCTCTTTGACTGGCCTCTTCCACGCAGCAATACGAACCCAAGTTTCCTCCATGTATTTTCCTGGCTTGATAGACCATCTCTCTGCCTCCAAGTCCTGTCAATCATGAACAAAGCTGCTACAAAATCTTGTGTGCACGTTTTGTGTGGACACAAGTCTTCGACACATTCAGGTAAACACTAAGCAGCGCCACCATTAGATCACTTAATTAACACATGCTTAGTTTTATGAAAAGCTGCCAAACTGTCCTCCAAAGTGTCTGCACCACCCTGTACTCTTACATGTAATGAGTGAGAGTTCTTGCCCATCACATTCTCCCCAGCAGCTAATGCCTTCTGTGTTTTGGACTGTGGCCATTCGAATAGGTGTGCAGTAGCATTTTACCATTATCTTAACTTGCAGTTTCCCAATGACATATGAGGAACATGTTTTCTTATTACAATCAGGCTACACATCTCCTCATTGTTGAGTTTCAAGAGATGTGGAGAAATAGGAACACTTTTACACTGTTGGTGGGACTGTAAACTAGTTCAACCATTGTGGAAGTCAGTGTGGCAATTCCTCAGGGATCTAGAACTAGAAATACCATTTGACGCAGCCATCCCATTACTGGGTATATACCCAAAGGACTATAAATCATGCTGCTATAAAGACACATGCACACGTATGTTTATTGCGGCACTATTCACAATAGCAAAGACCTGGAACCAACCCAAATGTCCAACAATGATAGACTGGATTAAGAAAATGTGGCACATATACACCATGGAATACTATGCAGCCATAAAAAATGATGAGTTCATGTAATTGGAAATCATCATTCTCAGTAAACTATCGCAAGAACAAAAAACCAAACACCGCATATTCTCACTCATAAGTGGGAATTGAACAATTAGAACACATGGACACAGGAAGGGGAACATCACACTCTGGGGACTGTTGTGGGCTGGGGGGAGGGGGGAGGGAAAACATTAGGAGATATATCTAATGCTAAATGGTGAGTTAATGGGTGCAGCACACCAGCATGGCACATGTATACATATGTAACTAACCTGTACATTGTGCACATGCACCCTAAAACTTAAAGTATAATAAAAATAAAATAAAAGAGTTCCTTACATATTCTGGACAAGAATCTTTTGCAAAGATATGTCTGTTGCAATATTTTCCTCAGTTTTTGGCCCATCTTATTCTCTTGACAGTGTCGTTCACAGAGCAGAAGTTTTAAATTTTAATAAAGACTGGCTTACCATTTTTTTCTTTCATGAATCATGCATGGTGTTGGATCTAAAAATTCATCACCATACCCAAGGTCATGTAAGTATTCTCCCACATTATCTTCTAGGAGTCTCACAGTTTTGTATCTCACATTTAGTTCTATGACTGATTTTGAGATAATTGGGTGGAAGAATATAAGGTCTGTGTCTCAATTCTTTTTTCTTTTTTTTTCTTTTGCATGTAGGCGTACAATTGTTTCAGAAAGGTTTGTAGAAAAGACTGTCTTTGTGCCATTATTTTTCCTTTGCTCCTTCATCAAAGTTCAGTTGAATAAATTTCTGTGCCTCTATATTTTGGGTCTTTATTCTGCTCCATTGATCTGTTTGTCTATTCTTTCACCAATACCACACTATCTTCATTACCATAGCTTTATAATAAATCTAGAATTCGAGTAGTGTCAGTTCGCTGACTTTGATATTTTTCAATATTGTATTAGAAAATCTGGGTGTTTTGCATCTCTATATAAAGTTTAGAATCTGCGTGTCAGTATCCAGTAAAAAACTTTCTGATATTTTGATTGAAATTGTGTTGAAACTGTAAGTTGGAGAGACCTGATGTCTTGACGATATTGAGTCTTAGCCACAAATATGGAATATCTCTCAGTTTATTTAGTTCTTTGGTTTCATCAGTTGTGTGCTTTTTATTAAAAGCATATAACTTGGGAATATTTTGTAAAATTTATGCCTAAGCATTTCATTTTCTTAGTTTTGCTAATGTAAATGGTATTGTGTTTTGAATTTCACTTTCCACTTGCTCATTGCTGGTATTGATTGATAGGAAAGCATTTTATTTTTGTACATTAATCTTGCATACTGAAGCCTTTCTATAATTGCTTATTAGTTCCAGGATGTTCTTTGTTTGTTTGTTTCCATTTCAATTTTCTACATAGACGATCAGTCATCAGCAGTTTTATTTTTTCTTACCAAATCACTATACCTTTCTTTTTTTTTTTTTTTTTTTTTTTTTTTTTTTTTTTTTTTTTGCCTTAATAAGGACTTCCAGTACAATACTGAAAAGGAGTAGTGAGAGGACACTTACTTGCCTTGGGAAAGCTTCAAGTTTCTCATCATTAAGTATAATGCTAGCTGTAATTTAAAAAAAAAAAGCTCTTTATCAAGTTGAGGAATCTCTTCTCTATTCCTTCTTTACTGAGAAGTTTTAACATGAATGGGTGTTGAATTTTGTCAGATGCCTTTCTTCATATTTTGATATAATCATGTGATTTGTCGTTTTTACCCAGTTGATTTGATGGATTACATTAATTGATTTTCAAATACTGAATCAGTCTTACATTCCCAGGATAAATCTCACTTGGTCACATATTTCTTTTATTCATCATTATTTTATTGCTAACATTTTATTGCAGGTTTTTACATCTATGGTTATGAGAGATAATGGCCTATAGTTTTCTTTTCTTCTAATGCCTTGGTCTGATTTTGTATTAGGGTAATGTTGGCCTCATGGAATGAGTTAAGAAGTATTCCCTCTGCTTTTGTGTTCTGAAAGAGATTGTGGAGAAGTGGTATCATTTCTACCACAAGTATTTGGTAGTAAACCCATCTAGGCTTTTCTAGATGCTTTCTGTTTTGGAAAGTTATCGATCATTAGTTCAGTTTCTTTTGTAGATATAGGCCTATTCAAATTGTGCATTTCTTAGAGTGTGGTAGATTGTACCTTTAAAGAAATTGGACCGGCCGGGCGCGGTGGCTCACGCCTGTAATCCCAGCACTTTGGGAGGCCGAGGCGGGTGGATCATGAGGTCAGGAGATCGAGACCATCCTGGCTAACAAGGTGAAACCCCGTCTCTACTAAAAATACAAAAAATTAGCCGGGCGCGGTGGCGGGCGCCTGTAGTCCCAGCTACTCGGGAGGCTGAGGCAGGAGAATGGCGTGAACCCGGGAAGCGGAGCTTGCAGTGAGCCGAGATTGCGCCACTGCAGTCCGCAGTCCGACCTGGGCGACAGAGCGAGACTCCGTCTCAAAAAAAAAAAAAAAAAAAAAAAAAAAGAAATTGGACCATTCCATCTAGATTATCAAATGTATGAGCCTAGAGTTGTTTATAGTATTTCTTTATTATCTTTTAAATATCTGTGGGATCTGTACTGATATCCCACTTTCATTTTTTATATTAGTAATTTGTATCTTATTTTTTTCTTAGCTTGGTTTCAGGCTTGTCAGTTTTACTGACCTTTTCATAGTGTCATCTTTGATGGTGTTAAGTTTTCTTTTCTTTGCATTTTCATTGATTTATGCTCTAATTTTTAATATTTCTTTGCTGCTGCTTCCTTTGGATTTAATTTGCTCTTCTTTTTCTAGATTCTTGAGGTAGAATTTTGTTAGGAATTTTATATTTTCTTCTTTTGGAAAACGTGTATTAAATCCTATAAATTTACCTATAAATGTATAAATTTAAATCCTATAAATTTTTTTTTGCTGCATCCCACAAATTGTATGCTGTATTTTCGTTTTCACTTAGTTCCAAATGTTTTCAGATTTTCTTGACATTTCTTTTTTGGCCCCTGTTTTAATTGGAAATGTATTGTTTAATCTCCAGATAGTTTGGAATATTACAGCTGACTTTCTCTGTTGTCTGAGAGCAGACATTGTATGATTTCTAATCTTCTAATTTATTAAGATGTGTTTCATGGCCCAGAATGTGGTCTATCTTGGCGAATGTTCCCTGTGAGTTTAAAAAAGATGAGTATTTTGCTGTTGCGGGCTGAAGTAGTCAATAGATGTCAGGTGTATCCAGCTGATTGATGTTGCTGCTGCTGTTGAGTTCAGCTACGTCTTTACTGATTTTCTTCCTGTTGGATCTGTGTACTTCTGATAGAGTGGTGTTGAAGACTACAACTGTAATAGTATGTTCATGTATTTCTCTTTGCAGTTCTATCAGTTTTTGCCTCATGTATTTTGATGCTCTCTTGTTAACTGCATGCACTATAAAAATGTTTGTGTCTTCTTAAGGACCTGATCTTTTTATCATTATGTAATGCCATTCTTTATTCCTGAGAATTTTCTTTGCTCTGAAGTATGTTTTGCCTGAAATCAGTACAGCTACTCAAGCTTACGTTTGTTTGATTAGCGTTAGCATGGTACATCTTTATCTCCTTACTTTTTAATCTGTATGCATTTTTATATTTAAAATAAGTTCTTTTTTCTTTTTTTGCAGATAGCATATAGTTGGGTGATTTTCTAATCCACTCTGACAATCTCTGGTTTTTCATTGGTGCATTTAAGCTATTGCTATTTATGATGATGATGGATTAATGATGACAATTGGATTAATATCGACCACATTTGTTGCTGTCTATTCATTACTCTTGTTCTTTCTTCCCATTTTTGTCTACTACAATTTTTCTGCCTTAGTGATTTTAATTGAGCATTTTATATTATTCATTTTTTCTCTCTTTTTTTCTCTTTCCCTAGCATATAAATTATACCATTTTTTTCTCTTTTTTTAGTTTTTAGTGTTTCTGTAGAGTTGGTATATGCATTTATAACTAGCCCAGGTCCACTTTTAAATAATTCTATACCACTTTATGAGTAGTGCAAGTTGCTTATAAGAACAAAATATTCCTAATTCCTCGCATTCATCTCTTACATCATTGCTATTCATTTTACATATAGTAAACTGTAGTCATCAAATACATTGTTGCTATTATTTTGAACAAATGATTATTTTTTACATAAATTAAAAATAAGAAAAATAAAAGTTTATATTTTACCTTCACTTATTTCTTCTCTAATACTTTTCTTTTCTTTATGTAGTACCGAGTTTCTGACCTCTATTATTTTCTTTCTCTCTGAAGAACTTTAAATGTTTCTTGCAAGGCAGGCCTATTGGCAACAAACTCTCTCCATTTTTCAATATCTGAAGAAGAAGTCTTTATTTCTGAAAAGATAAAGAATTCTAGGTTTCTGGGTTTTTGTTTGTTTGTTTGTTTTTTTCTCTCCAAACTTCAAATATTTTACTACATTCCCCTCTCTCTTGCATGGTTTCTGAAGAAAAGTTGAATGTGATTCTTAGGTTTACTTTTCTGTAGGTTAGCTTTTCCCTATTGCTTTCACCCCAGCTTCTTTCCAGACTTTTTGTATCTGTAATTTTCTGCGGTTGGAATATGATATGCTTAGGTAGCTTTTTTGACATGTATCCTGACTGGTGCTCTCTGAGTTTTCTGGATCCGTGGTTTCGTATCTGGCATTAATTTCGTGATGTTAGTCAAAATTATTTCATTTTTTTTGTTCCTTTCCGTTTTTCTGGTATGCTCATATTACACATGTGACATCTTTTGTCATTGTTGCCTATTTCTAAAATACTATGTTCCTTTTTTTTCAGCTTTTTGTTTCTCTTTGCTTTTCAGTTTTGCGGGTTTCTATTGGCCTCCTGAAACTCTGATGATGTTTCCTCATCCATGTTCAATACTAATGAATCATGAAAGGCATTCTTCATTTCTGATACAGTTTTTAAATAGACTCAAGTCTATTTATAACATTTTTGTTCCTCAGTAAAATTGAGAAATTACAGATGTTGCCCTTATGCCCTCTGTTCCCACATACACATAACCTTCCCCGTTATCAGCCTCCCCTGACAGAGGGGATTGTAACATTTGTTACAATTTATGAACCTACATTGACACATCATTCCTACATGGAGTCCATAATTTACAGTTGGTTTCACTTGGGGTTTTGAACATTCTATGGATTTGGGCAAATTTATAATGGCATGCATCTACCATCATAGTATCGTACAAAATAGTTTTACTGTCCTAAATAACCTGTTCATCCTTCCCTTTCCTATAACCCTATCAACCACTGATTTTTTTTTGTCTTCATAGTTTTGCCTTTTTAGAATGTCTTATAGTTGGAATAACCATGGTATGTGGACTTTTCAGACTGGATTCGTCAGTAATGTGCATTTAAATTTCTTCTGTGTATTTCATGGCTTGATAAGTGCATTTCGTTTTGCCTATGGAAAATATTCCATTGTCTGAATATACCATCATTTATCCATTCATCTGCTGAAGGGCAACTTGGTGGCTTTACAGTTTTTGCAATAATAAATAAAGCTAGTACTGTAAACATCTGTGTGCTGGTGTTTGTGTGGACTTATTTCATCTTCTTTGGATAAATACCTAGGAGTACAATTGGAGGATTATGTGGCAAGCGTATGTTTACCTTTGTTAAAAAAAAAAAAGTATCAAAATGTCTTCAAAGTGGTTGTAACATTTTGCATTCCCACCAGCAATGAATGAAAATTCGTGCCCGGGCACGGTGACTCATACCTATAACCCCAGCACGTTGGGAGGCCGAGGCGGGTGGATCACCTCAGGTCAGGAGTTAGAGACCAGCCTGGCCAACATGGCGAAACCCTGTCTCTACTAAGAATAAAAAATTAGCCAGGCAGCGTGACGCGCACCTATAATCCCAGCTACTTGGGAGGCTGAGGCAGGAGAATCGCTTGAACCCAGGAGGCAGAGGTTGCAGTGAATGGAGATACTGCGCCACTGCAGTCCAGCCTGGGTGAAAGAGCAAGACTCTGTCTCAAAAAGGAAAAGAAAAGAAAAGAAAATTCCTTTTGCTTCAAATCCTAAGTAGCATTTGGTAACATTTTGTAATTTTTAAAAATTTACAAAATATTATAAAATTTGACCATCCTGATAGATGTTGTTATGGTGTTTTTTTGTCTCTAATATAATTTTTTAATTCTTTTCTAGAACTCATATTTCTTGGCTAACATTACTGATCTGTCCTTGTATGTTATTTACTTTTCCTGTTAGATCCTTTGGCATGTTAATCACACTTGTTTTACATTTCTGGTCTGATAATTCCAACTTTTCTGCTGTATCAGAGTCTCCCTGATTTTTGCCTTTTAGTATGCCTTGTAATTATTGTTGAAATTGTCATTTGAAGAAAATGATAAGACTTGTCTCAATCGTTTTTGGAGATTTATTTGCCAAAGCTAAGGACGCATCTAGGAAACAGGTCTATGCCTTTTTCCAAAGATGATTTTGAGGCTTCTCAATTTAAAGGGGAAAAGGGTGGGATGATGAGAAGTACACAGTTTTCCCATAAACAAAAGGGGCAAAGGAAAAATGTGGGGAATCTGCATTTTATGTAAGATAACACAGACCCAAAGGGGTAGGGGAACAATCCGATATGCGTTTGTTTCTGGCAGCTGAGGCCACTGCACCTGCAAAGATAAGCTATCAATTAGCATGGCCATGGTGAAGTTTCAACAGCTCACCAGGAATTTCCTTGTGGGCAAAATATGGGGAAGGCAGGTCGCTTTTCATCATTTTATTCAGGAACCAAAAGGTGGAGGCAGGTATGTGTGACCGAGTTCGCAGTTTGGCATTTCCCTTTGGCTTAATGAGTTTGTGGTCCCCAAATTTAATTTCCTTTCACAAAAGTCACACATGATGTCCTCTCTTCCCACATATACATAACCTTCCCATTATCAACATCCCCTGGCAAAGGGGATTGTAATATTTGTTATAATTTATGAACCTACACGGACACATCATTACCATGTAAAGTCCATAATTTACAGTAGAGTTTACTCTGGGTGTTGCACATTATATGGATTTAGGCAATAGACTCTGTAATAAATAGACTGTTCAAGATGTGGTTGTTGAGTGTAGGGGAGAAGAAACATTCTGCAGTCCTATGATTAGGTCACAGTCTTTTATTGAGCCTGTGCTGCTGGGCTGTACACTTCACAAATGCTTCTCAATTTTATTCCCCTTTTCAGGTAAGACAGGATGGCTAGAGGGGGCTGGAGTTTGTAACTCCATTTCTCCCAAGTCAATTAGACTCTGATGAAATATGAAATAGTTTCTTTTGAAGACAGGACTTGTTAAGTAAGAAGAACAGTATCCTCTGTTGTATTTCAAAATGTCTCCTTTTCCCCTCCTCCTGTGAGAAGCCAGAGGATATTTTTGTGTCATCTTTACTGTGAGAACCTGGTAGAGGCCCTGGAGGTAAAACTCACACAAGTGTGGGGTTTCCCTATGACTAGACTCCCTCCCCTGAATTTTTTTTTTTTAGGTCTCAGACTTGTCCATATTCTGCTTCCAAAAATTCATGAATTACGTTTACTTTTTCCTTCCCCGGGACTGGTTATGGGTTTTGGCTGCTGGCAAGCTGGGATTCCCCATGTCCCCCTATCAGTCTCCAGTTTTGGAGACAATGGTTTGTCCTGTGGCCCTCCTTCTCTGATGGATCTAAGAGAAGTTGTTGACTTTCAGTTTGTTCAGTTTTGACTTTTTGTCAGGATAAAGAGATGACTCCCAAATGTCTTACATGCCAGACTGGAAATCAGAAGCCTCAAATACGATTTTTTACAAATTTGGTGATATATGTACCAAAAGTTTGAATATGAAGACCTAAATTACCTTGCCATTTTTAGCAGATCTTGAAATTTTACTTTTATTCATTTCTTCACTCATTTCCTATGAAACAATATGATGCAACTTATCTTGAGAGGACCTAACTCAAGTCTATTAAGTGGCCCTCATTGAAATTACTGGCTTCAGAGCCAGTTACAGTGAGGCAGGGAACATAAAGCCAATTCACACTGACTTCCTAGAACTGAATAAAATGGAAACACCTCAGCAATGACAGAAATGTGAATGGCTTTATAACTTCACTTCATCCTCCCCATTTACATAGGACACACACACACACACACACACACACACACACACACACACACACACACACACGGTGAGTTCCTCTCCATTTATATAGAGTGCATACCAAGTAAATGTCTTTGTAACTTTACTTCATTCTCTTCTTTGATATAGGACATGCACCAAGTAACCAGTGGGAAACCTCTAGAGGGTATTGAAACCCCAGAACATTCTGTAACCTGGGCTTCTGAGCCCCTAGGCTTGGGCCTGCTCCCACACTGTGAAGTGTAATGCCAAGAACCTGGACACCTTCAACCAGTTACAACAGGACCACATGAGGAAAAAAAAGCTTTATTATTTAGTTATACTTGAAAATAATTTTCCTTAAAAAAAAGATACTGCCTATCTTGCTGACCTCATATGCCAACTATTGTCTTCCTTGATCTTGTATTTCCTAAAGATTCATTTATTGAATAGGTGAACATTTGGTTTCAGCCTGTCGCCAGGTTAAAAAAAATACCAGAAAGGAACTTGTAGTGAATTCTTTGAAATTCTAAAACTCTTCTAATACATGGCAGTAATTCTGAGGCAACTATATAGCTTCTCCAAGTGATCTCATAAAAAAATACAGTGAATTTTTTAAACCACCGCTAATACAGATACAGATGGTCCTGACATGGGATGGCTTCACTTAAAATTTTTTGTCTTTACTATGGATTTATCAGGACATGACTCCGTTGTAAGTCTAGGAGCATTTGGACTTGAGATGGTTTGACTTACAATTTTTCAGCTTTATGATGGGTTTATAAGGGTATTAAATGCATTTGTGACTTATGATATTTCTGACTTACGCTGGGTTTATTGGGACATAATTCCACCTTAAATCAAACAACATCTGTATACTGAAGTCATAAAAAGAAAACAGTACAAAGCTGCATACTATGGTTATCCAATTAATGCTAGTTATGATTAACTCTCTAACAATTCATGTACATAGGCAGCTGTGTACTGGGATAGTCATAAAAGATTTCACAATTTTTGCCTATATTTTGCTTTTTACTTTCAACAGTTTAGTTTTGGAAATCATAAGCATTTACTGGAGAACCAAAATTTATTCCAAGTTACACCACAAATTAGCTCCAGAATTAATTGGAATTCAGGTACTTTCAGTAATTCATCTTTTTCAGAATATGACAGAGTAAATTAGTTGTGATTGAAAAAATAGCGTTTACCTTTAGTTTTAAGTTTCAGAGTTGGTCTGAAATGTTAATGGAAGCACATTACTAGCCCAAATTCAGTTGACTATGAAAATGTCTACACATAGTTTTATGAACTTCAATGTATGCAGAAAAGACATATTTTAACCTAAATATTTTAGCAAACAATTAAATATGAGAAAACGTCCTGGTAAAAGCTCTGGTAGATTTCAAAGGCTTACTTTCTGTAATCCATGGGAAATAACTGGTTGGTCCTTTACTTGTCCTCACACTAGCAAACTGTGGTTGGGAAAATATAATTAAAAACAGAATTCTCTTCCAGCTCAGGATAGGGGAGAAAAAGTAGTATCTTTTTTTTTGTCTGAGACCACTATAACAAAAGACAGATTAACAAGAGAAAATCACCCAAATTTATTTGATGTGAGCATTATGTGATATGCAAGCCTTCAGCAAAGAAGACCCAAGAAACAGAAAAATAATACGTATTTTTATGAACAGTCATGCAGAGGTATGATTGAGAGACAAAACGGTATGATCTAATTGGAATAAACTAGGAGAAAATGGTAAGTCCTGTTTGTTTAGATTCTTGGTCACTATGAGTCTTTGGCTTATTTTCTGCTGGGTGTAGGCAGAACAGTTGCTTCAGAGGAAGGTCAGATAAATCTTTTATAGCACGCTTCCGGGGAAAAAGGTGGGAGAAGGTCAGAGGGTGACATTCTCACTTCCGCAGTTTTCTCAGTTTCCTTCAGTTTAAAGTAGTCTGAGAAGGAGCATGTTCTAAGTTGGAAACTTCTTTACAAATGTAATAGAGAAATCAAATAGTTTTATTATTGAATTAGAATTAAACCAGAATCAGCCAGACATGGTGGCTCACACCTGTAATCCCAGCACTTTGGGAGGCTGAGGTGGGCAAATCACCTGAGGTCAGGAGTTGAAGACCAGCCTGAACAACATGGTGAAACCCCGTCTGTACTAAAAGTACAAAAAATAGCCAGGCTTAGTGGCGCGTGCCTGTAATCCTAGCTACTCGGGAGGCTGAGGTGGGAGAACCACTTGAACCCAAGAGGCAGAGGTTGCAGTGAGCCGAGATTGTGCCACTGTACTCCAGCCTGGGCAACAGAATGAGACTCTGTCTTAAAGCAAAACACACACACACACACACACACACACACACACACACACACACACACAACCACAATGTGATAAGCATCACAGGTAAGCAAAAAAAGAGATTGCAAAGACAGACAGAAATCTCACTTTTCAATATAGGCAAGCAGGTACAACCCATTGTCTATAGGATAACTAACCCTCCCCTAAGAGGACTTGACAGCCCCATTTGTCACACACAGTTAATCCTAAATGCACTTGGTAATTGGGGTAACTATCTGCCATAGCTATTTGGCTTTATTAAGGTAAAAAACCAAACTTTTTGTATCTTCATGATAAGAGAGAGTTTTGCAATTTGGAGCAAGGCTCCTATGTTCCCACAGAAACAGGGAGATAGGAGCACTACCTTGATATTTATATTTCAGACAGATGGTTTCCGGTCCTTAAGACAGACATTCCTAGATTATAAAACTGTAAAAAGGACGATCTAGTTTTCAAAAGGATTTGTGCATTTCAAAGAGTGGAGATAGTACTTACAAGTTTTCTAAAGTAAATGCTCTGAGAAAAATAAGGGGAGGGAAATCTCATCCCTTATTTTCAACAGGGCAAATTAAGGCTCTCAGTTGGTATTGATACAAATTATGGCAGAGTTGGGAGTATACAGTAGATGAGTTAAAATAGAAAAAAATTCTAATTAACATCTAGTTTATCATTATTCCTCTTTGTGTAGGATTTTGTATAAGCCTAAACTCAGCCAATGAAAACGTATTTAAGAAGTAAGGAAATGAGACAGTGAAGGAACAAAACATTGCAGTGGGCTAGAGCTGAGTCTTTCTTTTTAACAAAAGAAATGCTTCAGGAAGCATTAGCACCGTATCTCCTTATTCCAACTCTCCTACCATTAATTCGCTCTGAGCATGAAATTACTTGTGTGCAGAGTGCACCCCTGATAAAGGTAATTCCAGTGCACAATAAAAAAGGGGCACTTATTAGGCAATACCAAATCACCCTGAGCATGTGTCTAGGTACAAACAGGTTCCTTAAATTGTCTGAGTCATAGTGACAGTTGATAAGAGCTGAAACGAAACGATCCATCCCCCAAAATGAAAAGGTCATAACGGGTGATCTTTTCTGTAGAAATGTCTCTTGTGTTAGAAGAGGTCTGTTCTCTGGGCAGACAACATCTTATTTCTTCACACACAGTGCTGTAGAGCTTTAGAGAACCAGAGACAAGAACAATATGTCTCTCATTGATTATCACTTTAAAATCAAAGTGTCTTGGGTCCTTTAAAGTTATTGCTGAAAGTGAGCAGAGTACAGAAGCTAAGCTCCAACACCATGAAAGTATACATAGATAATGAGGTCTCAACCACACTCCAGTCAGTTAATTATTTATTGGATTCTTCTTACGTGACAACCTCTTTTAAGAAATTAATTCAGGACAACAAATACCAAAGACTACCAATTTACAAGGATACATGCAACAGAACCAGCAATGTCAAAGAGCATTGAAATCACTTATAAAATAGGTTGTTATTAAAAGGCACATCTGAAAACTTCTTCTAAAGCTAAGTGGATCTGGGCCTTGTCAAATCAAGGTGGGAAATAAAATTTCACCTTGCAGTTGCAGCCTCTCTAGTGAAGGGATCTGGGCTGTGCTAGCATCAGTTCAAAGTCTGTGATGATGCACAAGAAAGATGCATCTGACTTTGAAATGGCCATGTACTTCTGTGGTCATAGAAATCAGTTATTGGTTTGGATTAGATTTGGCAACAAAAGATACAAAATGCAAACCCCCCTGGGGTGCATGTTTCTTCACATTCCTCAGGATTTAAATAAAGAGAGTTGAGAAATTCCAGCCTGTAGTTGGCTGGAGGAAATATCTGATCACTCACAAAGGAAATGAGGAGGGAGGGAAGGAGAAAATCCAGGTTAATCTCACTGCTTTTTGTTCAGTGGTAAACAGTTGGTGTTTCCTTTTTCCTCATTTTTAAGGAAGAAAATACGTATTAGAAAATATGAAAAGATAAGAAGAAAGACATTACATTAATCTAAAATCACTTTTCTAGGTGGATTTTTTTTTCTTGGGGTTTGGATTAATGTTTGATCCCATTTCAGTCTCATGTCTGCCCAATAAAAATTACAATAGGTTGACCTCTGGCTGAGCCACTGACTTACCTCCTCTTCTCCTAAGCCACTGAGTACCTGGGTAGGTACAAAGTTTCTAAACAGAGATGCTTAATGCATCAGAATCATCCCTTCCATCTTTTCAGGTTGCTTCCTATATTTCAAATCTGCTCTGCCTGAGGGTATCTCAGGTAAATATCTACGTAAAATCAGTGTAAATTTTAAACCACCAAACTTCATTTCTAAAATGCTTATCTATAACTTTATAACTCACTGAGAAGTTTGAAAGTCGAGTTTTCTGGAGAAGCACAATTAGACCCCAGTACTCTTCTTGGGGGCATCACATCTTATGCTAACCTACATTTTTACAATTTCCGGCTTATTTGTCAGCACAAGCCATGTGTGAAGTGTGCATGGATCTAGATGGGTTGAGAATCTTTGCTTGTCCTGCTCTAGGTTCCTGCATATGTCTCTCTCTCTCTTTTTTTTTTTTTTTTTAAACCTAGTTTCAATTGTCCCAGTCTGTTTTACTGCAATAAGACTTAGAATGATCTGGACAGTCTGGCCCACTGGGGAGCATATCCTTTCTCAGATTTTTTCCACATTTTCTGCTTATGTGTTTTGGCCTTAATTCTCCACTCTTACTTCTCAAAGGACCATTAGAAGGGTGATATCATTGCACCACAGTGTGATATGAAGTATGAAAGAGGAATGGCTGTTTTTCATCCTGAGGCAAGTGCTTAATTCATAATTGTATATGAGAGGCAGTGTGGAGGGGCAGAATTAGAGATGTGAAAATGTTTATAAGTAAAAATTAAGATATAGTCTATTACCTGATCTCTTTTACACCTGTTTTTCCCTGTGTGGATTTTTTAATTTTGTTTTCTACAGCTTTTCAGCTACTTTTTTTTCATTTTTTGAAACAGAGTCACACTCTGTCACCCAGGCTAGAGTGCAGTGGTGCCATCTTAGCTCACTGCAAGTTCTGCCTCCTGGGTTTAAGCAATTCTCATGTCTCAGCCTCCCGAGTAGCTGGGAATACAGACTTGTACCACCCTGCCCAGGTAATTTTTATATTTTGATAGAGAGGTTTCACCATGTTGGCCAGGCTCATCTCAAACTCCTGGCCTTAAGTGATCTGCCTGCCTCAGCCTCCCAGATTGTTGGGATTACATGTGTGAGCCACAGCACCCAGCCTTAGCTCCTTCTTAAAGTAGTGAAATCATCTTGCCAAACGGAGACTCTTATCCCCTTAATATAGAATACACAGATACAGAGCTGTTATGCTGTGGGGAAGAAGAGCTGAAGCTCCATAAGGTCTGTTTTTCAATCCAAGTCCCTCTGTAACCCTTAGGTTATTTTATAAAACCCCAGGGTTCCAGGAACCAAAGTTGCTAACTGTATTCAAGACAGTGCACTCGCATCCAGAATCTTATGCCTCACTTTTCTTGCTAACTATACATATTGTCAAAAGAACCTCTGACCTCGTAAATAATAATAATTGGGAAAAAAAAGTTTAATTTGACAGAACTTCACCCATGCAACCCTGTTTCCATTCCTGAGCCATTCCTCCCTTGCTGAGTTCTGGGAGCCCTTTGTATTAGTACGTATCATTTGTCATTTAAATGTAGGAACTTGTATTGCTCTTATCACTTGATTTCCCTCTTATTTTCAAGACCAGAGACGTCTAGAGACCAGCAACTGAATTTTATAACTGTTTGCTTTCCAGCACTTATATCAGTGGGCAGTGCTTACCAAAGTCTCTGTGTGTGTGTGTGTGTTTCTGTCCACAGTGATGATGATAACTTTCAGATATTGGGGGAAAAAATATTTCAAAACAATTCTGAGTTTAAATGAGTTATGTTTCTGTACATGATTTCTTTTCACTGTTTTTACAATATTAAGTAAAGTGTGGATTTGAAGCTTTGCTAATATTCGCAGCTTCCCAAGTGGCCAAGAAGGTTTTGACACCTTCCCTTCATCTTGACTGAACTTCATCTAATTTCTTACTGAGTAGGCTCCTGACCAGTGTCCTGATGTCTCCTTTTAAAGATAATTTACTTTAGAATACTTGCAATTATAAATCATTTCCCTGCCCTTTTGAGGTGTAAATCTTTTTAAAAAATCCTCTTGATAGTGTTATAACCCAGGACTATGCTGGGGCTCAGAAATAAATACCCTAACATATGGCACTTTGACATATTGGGCAAGAGAAAAAGCCTCAAGGTCCCTCTGACCTTCCTCCCACCACATCTTCTGTTTTTCAATCCTCTGTCTACCCTAAAGCAAAGGATGAAGTTGTTCTCTAAAGTTCCCTAATCTGCATAAAGTTCAGATCTGTCAAAGAAGAAAACAATCACCTCTGGTCCCTTCCCTGAGTTTTCATTAACTGAAATCATATTGCAGAAGGAAAGACTAAAGTCTGTCAACACGCATGGACAGACTTCAGTTGCATCTGTTGTCTACTCTATGAGACCAACAGACTTTTTCCCAGGCCATGTATGTTCTTAAAAACCAATTAATTGCCCTAAAAATTATTTACTACCTCCATAATGTGAAAGCACCTTTGCAAAAATTATATTTGTGAGAAAATAATAACAGTGAAAGAGGTCTGACCTAACTGACTCCATCTTGCTTTCAACCTCCAAGCTGTCCTTGTTCATTCCTGGGTTCAGGACAAACTAACTAACTTAGTTTACAGTTTAAAACAAAGATGATAGTAGCCCTTTCCCAAAATTTGCTTTTGTAAGACTAATCCCAAAACTGGTTGTCTAAGACTAACAAGTTAGCCACAAAATTAGAAATTATGATTTAGGAGTCATGCAATTACAGGTCACCAGATTCTAAACGTCGCCAATTGCTCCTAGGAATAATATCACTATTGTAAAACTTGAGATTGGTGCTTGAGGTATTTTTCAGACCTTTCACTTGATGGATCAGGTGGTGCCATCCAAATCAATAAATCAGCTCATCTGGTCTTATGGCCCTCACTCGGGAACTGACTGCGTGCAAGAGGAAAGCTTTGACTCCCTACAATTTCATCTTAGACCCAACAAATCAGCACTCCCCACTCCCTGGCCCCCTATCCACCAAATTTTCCTCAATAAACCCTGGCCCCAAAATTTCTAGGAGACTGGTTTGAGTAGTAATAAAACTCCATTCTCCCAATCAGCCAGCTATGCATGAAATAAACTATTTCTCTATTGTAATTCTCTTGTCTTGATAAATTGGCTCTATCTGGGCAGCAGGAAAAATGAACCCATTGAGAGGTTACAAATTTCATCCACACTTCTCCATCTCCCTTTCCTCTAAGAAGAAAGGTATATAATCATTTGTACAGCATTGCATGAGGAGGTAGTTACTCTGTGATCCTCCTCCATGAGCATTACTAAATTGGTATACCATTTCTCCTAATTTGTCTTATTTTTCTTTGATTTTCAGTAAACTTTGAGTGGTAAAAGGAAAGTTTTCCCTTGGCCCCCATAACTATCTTTCTCAAGGATTTGGGAACCATCTGATTAAAATGTAATCATCAAGGAAGATATTGCCCTTATCCCTGTCTTCTGTGGCAGGATTCCATTCTAAGTTCCCTGGTGCATCTTGCTCCAAGTTGCAAAATTACCTCGTGTCAGGAAGATATGAGAAAGTTACTTTCCCTCTGAGTAAGGCCAATAAGCACACATTGATGGTTTACAATTACTTAATTCCCCCAAATTCTCAGCTATTAAAAACTCCCTAGTCCTTTGTTTTAGTGGAATTGAGCTGAGACTGACTTTTGGCTTCTCTCTGTTATTGCAATAGCTTCAAATAAATTGTTCCTTGTCTGTTTAACTTTATGAAGTGCAACTTTTGCTTTGATAGAGACTTCTATTAAACACCAAGAACAACAAAACATTCCTCTGCTCAAATTTAACTTGCCAAAATCAAAGGAAACTATATTGTCCAGAGAGTGATAAATTTATTCCAACATTTTCTTTCTTTTTTTTTTTGTAAGGAAAACTTTGCATTGTTTTTAATAGCAGTTAAAACACTTGGAGAACATAGTTTCAATAAAACTGACAAAAAGCTGCAATTAATTGGTTTACTCTGTGTAAATACATTGACCTTCTGTAAATCATTGAGCTAGTCTCTTCTTCTCTATGTTATTTTCTTGCGTGTAACTTCATTTAGAATGAGCAATAACTTTTTCACTACTGAGGAACTAACTCTGTAGTATACTGGAGGTACATTTTATTGTCTATTAATAAATTCTAACATTATTCCCCCTTCTTCGTGTTAAAGTAACATAATTTGAGTCATACAGATTTAGAGGTAAGCGCTCATTTGAGCCTTTTCTGTACTTCTTTCTCAGCTAGGCTATCTACTCCAGGCTGATTTCATGGGGCAACACTTGAGTATATACCTGACTCCCCACTCTGAATTCACCTATAGTGATTTGAGGGCAGCAGAATTAGCCCAATAAGATATAAGGAAGTAGACCAACTTCATAAAATTTTAGGCTGAAAATAATCTTTGGGGTTATAGAATCCCATCCTTATATTTTGCAGGTGAAGAAAATGTGTGACTTTCTCTGAGCCATACAATGAGTTAAACATACAAATAAAACTGAGAATTAGGAATCATAGAATCCTAGTCTATTACTTTTCTATTATTTTCCATTTCTGACATTTTCTTCTATTTAGGTAGTTTGTTATTTTGCCCCATAATTCTGTGCTTCCATGAGGTATCACATAGATCCAAGATTTGAAAATTTCATCCCTGTTAAAGTTTTATAATCTTCAAGAGTCACTCTGTCTAGGAATATGTGTTTTTTTAAAAGAATACAGATAATATTTTAAAAATTCATAAACAAAGCTGATAGTGGAATTTCTTTCTGCAGAATTTTTTTTTTTTTTTTTTTTACTGGAAAAGCGTAGTTTCTTCTAACTCTCCAACACCCTGTGCTATGCCTGCTACAGAAAGAAAGCTCTGCCAAAAAAATTTAGTGATAAATATACTTCAGATAGAAGATAGATTATGTGAACACAAAAGACTTTAACATACAACTCACAAAAAGGTGACCCAATATAATATCATCTAAGATTTTTCTATCCAGACTGGAGGGACATTTAATTGGCACATTATAATTTCTCTTTACTGAAACAGAAATGAAACTATGAGGATTCCAAGAAATAACCACTACTGCTTAGACAGTTCTATCTCTTTTTATGTCTCTTTCATTTATTAGCTTAGATTTAACTGAAGAAACTCAAACTTAAAAATAAAAGAGTGTAGGGATTAATCCATCAATTTATATTTTCCTTCATCTAAATAATGATTTTCTTTACATATACTGCAAAATATTAGCTTCTAGTGTCATTGATAAGCAAATATCTTCATACTATCTGAAACATATAGACTGTTTATATACTCAGCTTTACTGGAATTAAATGCCGTTAGAGAGTGTTTTAGTTTTTTGCCTTTCCAACCTAACTCCTGGAGTCAAAAAAATATTCCTGTCTTTTAAGATACACATGTTCCCACAGGGCTATTCCTTGAACAGATAAAAGCTTAGAGTAGAACTGACCTTTTAGCAGATCCTTCATTTTTATTCTTTTTAGCAAGTTGTATGTTTTTTGTTTTTTTTTAAGATTTTATCCCAGTTTATAGAAATTTACAGGTTTACAAATTTTCTTTTCTGGTACTATTTTAGCACAATTTTTGCATGTACTTTTTGTTTGTTTGTTTGTTTCTTGACTTTTTATTTTTTTATTTTTTTATTTTTTTATTATACTTTAAGTTTTAGGGTACATGTGCACATTGTGCAGGTTAGTTACATATGTATACATGTGCCATGCTGGTGCGCTGCACCCACTAACTCGTCATCTAGCATTAGGTATATCTCCCAGTGCTATCCCTCCCCCCTCCCTCCACCCCACCCACAGTCCCCAGAGTTGTATGTTTTAAGAGCTATCTTTGTGAGGTTTTTAAGTCTGTGGATCTATTTTGTAGTTTCCCTCTCCTACACAAAATACCTTTCTCTAAAAAAGGAGAAGTGCCGGGCATGGTGGCTCATGCCTGTAATCCCAGTACTTTGGGAGGCTGAGGCAGGCAGATCACTTGAGGTCAGGAGTTCGAGAGCAGCCTGGCCAACATGGGAAACCCCGTCTCTACTAAAAATACAAAAATTAGCCAGGCGTGGTGGTGTGCACCTGTAATCCCAGCTACGTAGGAGGCTGAGGTGGGAGAATCGCTTGAATCTGGGAGGTGGAGATTGCAGTGAACAAAGATGTTGCCACTGCATTCCAGCCTGGGCGACAGAGCAAGATTCCATCTCAAAATAAAATGAAAATAAAGAAAGAGAAGTAACCTTGTTTAACATAAAATACTAGAAAATCGCGGGAAAGAAAAATATGCTACCCCATGATATATCTTTTTCTGGTATATTTCAAGATGGCTATTCTGAGGGACCACAGGCACTTCAATAGCTCTAAAAAGTCATCTTTTTGTGGGGGAGATTTCTATGTGCATATAATACATATTTACACCTTTTCTCCTGTTAATCTATCTATTCTCAGTTTCCTTGACTCAAATTATCAAAACTTCAGAAAGATAAAGAAAAGTTCCCTTCATCTCTAAAAGGAATCTATATGAGAAACAGGTCTAAAATACTTACAATGATTCCCAATGATATTAAATATGGAGGAGTACAGTAGGACATATAATAATAGAAAATATTTGAATTTATAGATGAAAAAAGTGAAAACGAGAATATGGGTAAGAAACAAGGACATAAATAAAATCTATTTTTTATTACCTTATTTTCCTCATAGTCACAATTTTAAATGCTGGCACTAGAATTATGATGTTACCAGTGTCATTCTATTTTACTCAGGAATTACTATGGTAACATTAAATAATTCTCAAGGTAAAATTCATTATTTTGTGTTACAATTAAAAATTATAAACTCATACATACTTCAGAAGACTGAATTTAATATAGTTTTAGTTATCAAGCATTGAAATTGCCTCAATCTTAAAAAAATTCGTTTCTACAAGTATGAAAGCCTTTTTGAGTTGAGATTTTTGTCTATTTTGTTCATTACTGTATCTTCATTCCTAGAACTTTGTCCCAGTGCAAATTAGGTACTTAGTTAATATTTGCTGAATTGGTATCCTGAACTAGCGTTTCTCAAAGCATTGTCAGAAGAACACTGGAGCATTTTTTTTTTTTTTGTCACTAGTATACAGTGTGATAAGAGAGTTCTCTGGTAAAAGAAGTTTGAGAACCACAAGGTACCAGGGTAATATTTTAGATATTCAAGTTCTATATAATCAGATGTCCTGAAAACTACCTATGGTTAACTTGGTCAGCTATGGTAACATGTTCACAATGAAAGCTGTGGTCACTTTCCTGTTCCAGTGGAAAATGCTGCTCAGAGCTGCCCCTGCCCTAGCACAGTATGTGTCCTTACACCCAAGTGTATGTTCAACAGGAGATCCACTTGGAGTTCAGATTCCATTTAGGAAGTCATTTTTTTAAAAAAGAATCTTGAGACTCAGCACTTATCTTTGATGATCCTTGAAAGAGTAAAGTTCTCATGAGGTAGCACATTCAGACTATGATAAAACAGAAATTTACTCTTTTCCAAGTACCATTTTAATAATTTACATGCACTCATCATTTAATCTTCAAAATAAGTGTATAAGATATGATTTCATCAATTCAGAACTTTGGCTTTTTGAGAGACACTATTAAGAGAGTTTACATATTCTCACTCATAGGTGGGAATTGAACAATGAGAACACATGGACACAGGAAGGGGAACATCACACTCTGGGGACTGTTGTGGGGTGGGGGGAGGGGGGAGGGATAGCTTTAGGAGGTATACCTAATGCTAAATGACGAGTTAATGGGTGCAGCACACCAGCATGGCACATGTATACGTATGTAACTAACCTGCACGTTGTGCACATGTACCCTAAAACTTAAAGTATAATAATAATAAAATAAAAAAAAGAATTTAAAAAGTAAGTCATGGACTCAAAATACTTTAAATATATTTAATAAAATCTTAGAATATAACTAGAACTCTCAAAAGCCAACAATAATAATAATTGAAATCAGAAAACTGAAAAAAAAAAGCCAGGTAAATTGTTTGTGATTGCCTAGGTTTTTGGCCATCAGCCAAAATGAAGAATTAGCTTAAGAATTAGATGAAGGATATTGATAGTGTTGTTCAATTACTTGATTCCCTTACTGAGAACACAGGGCCAAATATTTTGACCCATGTTCATGAATGAGATCACCCTATAATTTTTCTCTCTATAGTGCTCTTCTCAGGTTTATATATTAAGATTGTGTTAAATGCCATGAAATAAGTTGACAAGTTTTTTATCCTTTTTTTCATTTTCTCTGGGAAACTCTGTATAATACTGAGCTTATCTTTTTCTTTGATGTTTATATAGATTCATCACTGAAGTGATCTTTTTTTATTTTCATTTTAATAGTGAATTTTTTATTACTGCTTTAATTTATTCAATAATTTTAGGACTTTTCAAGTTTTTTGTTTTTTTCTGAGTCAGTTTTTGCAAGGAATATTTTACTATGAAGTTTCCACTTCTAAATTTTCATATTTATTACCCTATTGATTTATTATATTTTCATAACATTTTAGAATGTATAGCTTCTCTACATAGTGATAGTATAAAAATTCATCAAACAGTTTATAAGTATACGTGAATTATCAATACAACTACAGAATAGATACAGGAAACTTTGTGATATAAGATAAAATTTTAAAATGGCACTTAGTATAATTATTTTATATCATGTGTAGAAATAATTTTTCTACCATTCATAAAGAATGATTCTCTGTATACTCAAGAATTTCTAAAAATATAGAGTTCAAAGCTTATCCCCACGGAGACAGACATCTGGGAGCTTTTTCAATAGATATAGGAATCACAGTTCAGAAAATCTGTTTACTCTGTTAACAATGGTGCATACCCTGTCATTGGTCTGAAAGTGATTTCTCAGAACACAATGAGAAGAATAAAACTTCTGTCTTTCATCATGTAATATCACCTGCCCTCAGCACTACTTTTTAGCCACCATGTCCTCCACAGATAATTTTAAAAAGGAAAGCACCTGATAAAAATGTATTTTCCAAACTCAGGCCTATTCAATTGTCTTAGTTTGTCACTTAGTAATATATTTCTCCATACAGACAATCCTGTACATATACTTAATTGAGAAACTATATCTAAATGTCCCATTTTGTAGGAAACATCAGTACTATAAAAATTTCCATATGTAACGAAGATGGTATAACCAGACACAAGTCCATCTGCCAGCCACTTGCTGAGTCCCATGAGCAAGAATGAGATCTGGTGGAAAGTAAGTGGCTTTTATTCCAAAGCTTAGCTGAAAGGAAGTGGTACAGGTTCCTGCCTTAAAGGGAGCTGCTTCCGCTTTCTGGGCAGAAAGCAGAGTCTTTTAAAAAGGGACTTGGTGTTAAAGGCATGGAGGGAAGGGGGTGAGTAGAGGCAAGTTCTGCGTGATTTGCTGTCTGGTGCCATTGCAGGCAGAGCTAGGTTGTAAACTGACCATTCTCTGAGGCAGTCTCCTTGTGGGTAGGTACCTAGTTTGTTTCAAGGTTCGGTCTCCAGAACTTCTAAGTAAACTCATAGTTAGGTAATCTTGCTATGTAGTATAGGAACTATCCGGTGGTGAGAAGGTAAAATTTATGACTGTATTCTTAAAGAGCCACGTAGGAGGTAGGGGAAAATGAAAAAGGTTAAAACAAATCATTTTATTTTTCTTTACCATTAGGTGTATATAAGAAAATTGGGCATATATTATAATTGGAAATATATAAGAAGGTAGAAAAAGATCATTAGCATGTTTCCATGAAAATGCTATAATAGTTGTAATAATTTAAAATAATTTGCAGCTGGGAGCAGAGGCTCAGGCCTGTAATCCCAGTATTTGGGAGGCTGAGGCAAACAGATCACTTGAGACCAGGAGTCCAGACCAGCCTGGTCAACATAGTGAAACTCCCTCTTGACTAAAAATACAAAAATTAGGTGTTCATGGTGGCGCATGCCTGTGATCCCAGCTACTCGGGAGGCTGAGGCAGGAGAATCACTTGAGCCTAGGAGGTGGAGGTTTCAGTGAGCTGAGATTGCACCACTGCATTCCAGGTAGGGCAACAGAGGGAGACTCTATCTCAATAAATAAAATAAAATAAAATAATTTGGAACATAAGTAAAAGATTCTTAAAATAAGATTTTTATATATGTAGGAAAGAAGAGGAGTTCAATTAATTCAAATACTTTATTTCACCATAAATCTGTAAGATATTCAAAAAGGCCTTCAGTGTTGCAATGACTGCTGGAGTGTATTTCTTAAATACATTTTTCTGGGTGGAAAAAGTCTTTGTCTCTTAGTCAAACAAATAAATTTGTCAAGCAGCATATAATCGATTAATATTAATGACAATGTTTTGTTGAGTAAAATTTTTATATTATTGGGGTAACCTCTCCCTTTAAACAAATGGAATATATTGAAAAGCTCTATTAACTCGTTGAAAACATCAGGGTATCAGTTTTTCTATTTTCCATTTTGGCCAAAGTTACTTATTTAATACATATTGATTAAATAGCTTTCATTTTTTAACATCTTATTATATAGGCACATGCTATTCAAACTTGAGAAATTAATTGCACTGTGAAATAGAAGAAAACCATGGACTACTATCTAAAGAAAAGTATAACCAAATAATAAAAATTACTTGGAATTTCAACGCTATTAACTTAGGAAAACAAAAAATGGTACAAACAATACTACAACAAATCTTTAACTGTTCTGTTTTGTTTTGTTTTGTTTTTGAGACAGAGTCTCCCTCTGTCACCCAGTGGCATGATCTCAGCTCACTGCAACCTCTGCCTACCTGTTCAAGCGACTCTCATGCCTCAGCCTCCCTAGTAGCTGGAATTACAGGCATGCGCCACCATGCCCAGCTCATTTTTTTGTATTTTTAATAGATACAGGGTTTCCTCATGTTGGCCAGGCTGGTCTGAAACTTCTGGCCTCAAGTGATCCACCCACCTTGGCCTCCCAAAGTGCTGGGATTACAGGCATGAGCTGCCATACCCAGCCCCAGTCTTTAACCCTTAAATAAACTCAGAACCATTAGTTCTTTAAAATAGGCATTTTTTCTAAATCTTTCTATTTCTAATTTTATTGATTTTTTTTTTCAAGAAGAATGGTAATGACTTTGCTATAACTACCTGCACATATTGATGCTGCATGTTTTTACTGGAAAATGAGCTTAATGTGGACATTGATTAATTTTCATGTTTTGTTCTTTGTAAGTGAAATCATAAACATACACCCATGCAGGTGACAGTACAAGTGATCATATTCTATTGCCAACAAAAATAAAATTTAACAAATTAGAATTCCACAATTTATTTTCCCCCAAAGGTGGTTCTAAGAATGATTCCCAGCTTTCCAGTAAGAGTACTTTTGCACCATAGGTTTGGGAATGTGCTGAGCAATTTTGTCTTGGGCAAATGTGGAACATACTTTAAAATGAGTACCTAGTTTTCAGAGACCAAGTAAGCATCCAAGACCATTTGCATTTGGTGATTACTAACTAAAATCACTCTAAGTAAGTGAAAGCTGTAATAGGCAGATTTGAATAGATCTCTTTAATCAAAATAATCCTGAACTCAATAGCTTAATTTTTAATTTAAAAATTTTTCATCTGCCCCATGCTTCAAGTTCTTCATTTCAGCCTCTCCAATCCTGTTTTCTTTAAATCATCAATTTGAGCTAACCTAATATTCTATGTCTTCTAAGATTTAATCCCTTTATGGTATTTTATTTGTATACATTTTAGGTGACGATAGATGATGTCAAAAGGAAAATATTTTCTAATTTTATTTTTTTGATTTATTTTTTAAAAATTCTTTCTTGTAACTTCTCAAGCAGTGATGTGCATTTACATCAGCAAAATATACACAAAAATAGCCTCCTTTACCACTTTTCTAGTTCATTCATACATGCTGCCTAGTCTTACCTTTCCTATAGGAGGAACTATTCCATTACTAAATGTGCCAGCTTCAGGGACACCTTTTTTTGTTTGTTTGTTTAAATGGAGTCTCACTCTGTTGCCCAGGCTGGAGTGCAATGGTGCAATCTCAGCTCACTGCAATCTCCACCTCCTGGGTTGGAGTGATTATCCTGCCTCAGCCTCCTGAGTAGCTGGGATTACAGGTGCCCACCACCACCACGCCCAGCTAATTTTTTTGTATTTTTAGTACGACGGGGTTTCACTATGTTGACCAGGCTGGTCTCAAACTCCTGACCTCATGATCCATCTGCCTCGGCCTCCCAAAGTGCTGGGATTACAAGCATGAGCCACCGAACCCGGCAGGGACAACTTTTGGTTCTCCATGGCTTATGTTTCCCGTAGAGTTCTGCTGCCATCTTCCCTTAGTCCTCCCACATCCTCCTCACACTGTCTGCTCTCATAACTCTTAAGCAAGTCAGAATGTTCCTTACAATATGCTGCTTCATGCATCCTGACTCTAGCTGAATACAAATCCTGGCAGAATCCCAACTTTTTCTCTCCTCAAGAATTGATTTAGTGTAAGAGATTTTGCTTCATGGATAGAGGTGGATATATATTTAGTGTAACATATTTTTTACTCTTGTAATTCTTGACAGCAATTAGTCTCTTTGAAATTAATATTGGGCTTTTATTTTACTAGGGTTTACAGATGTCTTCTTAATTTAACAAAGTTTTAGAACTTAAATTCCCCTACTCTTTATTTCATTGATTTTTAAAGTACACTATGACCCCAATTTTCTCCAAGAGATAGAAAGTCAAGAACAATTAAAAAAAGGTAAATGTCTCCCCTATGCAGTTTCTTAATTCTTTTTCATAGTTACTTCCAGATACCTGCAATCTCTTTGCTGCTATTCTCCCATATAGAATTATTTTGCTAGCTCTGGAATTGTTCACAATTATATATTAACTTAATTGTCTCGGAGAGACAATTTATGACAGATTATTGTCACTGATTTTATTAGCATGGTATCTTTCATCCAATAGGGACACATCGATGAAAGAATTGTGGAATTTGAGCACATTATGGCAAAGGGCTTGCATTGAAGTATCTTAAGTAGACCATCTAACTTAGAATTCAACAACTGCCTGCAGAACCGAGATCTCTTAAATCTTTGTCATCCTAATTGTGATACACGAGTGGTCTAGAATGATGCCAGCCAAATTCCAAGTTCAGAAAAGCCAAAATTCGGACAAAAATGCACAGGATAATCTATTATGTATGGTTGAAGTGTTGGTTCAAGAAGTCTCGAAGTACAAATTGGAGATCAGAATCCATCAGTTCTGCTCTCCCAAAAGTAATGAATATTCTTAACTGGGACCTCAGCTGAGGTGGGCTGGAGCCAAGACACAGGACAACCTTCTGGTTCACTGCCAAGACCAATGTCTGCAGGTAGTTGAGTCTTTTCACCAAGGCACTAGTATGCATGATTTTTTCTGGACCCCTTGGCAGATGGTTTTGGTCAAGGCCAAATGTGACTATAGCCAAGCCTCTTGGAGAATGGGGCTATTTCCAGGCTTGAGCCTAGGTGCATAATCAGCAGATCAACCACTTGGGTATCAGACTGCACTCAAAATAACTGTCCTAGGTCTTGGGCATCATTGGTGTTGCATAATCTCCTACCTGAATCCTGAGGCTTCTGCAGAGAGGCTTTTGTCTATGGATGGATTAAGAATTCTTGTTGCTGTGAGGGGATGTGATTGGGTTACCTCCTATCCTACCATCTTGCTAAAGTTGATTTTAAATAGCACAGGCTATGCTGCCAATATTTTCTCTTAATGGGCATATGTTCTGAATGAATACATGCCCCTGAATGAATGCCCTGAATGACTTAGGTGACATAAAGGTACTGTTCTCTAGTTGTTCTCAGTTCCTGAATGCCTTATCAAATGTAAGTGTCTTACTCTACTGACTATGTTTCTACTGTTTAAAAATAAACCTTTTTATGTGAAAAGAATCAAAAGCCAAAAATTTTATCTGGAACTCAAAAAAGAAAGCAATAGTAAAATAGACTAATAGTTTTGGAAAAGTATATTGAATTTAACAAAGAAAATATATTTATGTGTTCAATGTTAGTATTCCTATGAGATTTTCAAAAATAATTATATGCAATCTTTACCTTGCAGATTTTCAATCCTAATTCCTTAGTAGATGTCATTTCTGTGGAATGGTTTATAAATTAATACCTTGTAAGATTCTCGAACTTAGCTTTGTAGTACATAATTGTAGATTTGACTCACATTTACCAAAAACTGATCCTTCCTCATTCTGATA
Source organism: Homo sapiens (assembly GCF_000001405.40). NCBI lineage: Eukaryota > Metazoa > Chordata > Mammalia > Primates > Hominidae > Homo > Homo sapiens. The sequence goes on from NC_000008.11 coordinate 13,945,352, forward strand.
TCTTAATCGATAAAACAATGTTGCAATCAATATAATTGCCCATGCTCAGGCTAAAACCTCTAGGGTTGTCATCTGAAATGTCTTTCTCTTTCATATGTGTATTTCAATAAGTCCTCAAGTTCTGCCTGCTTCCAAAATATTCCTCAAATTTTAACATATCCCCTATGTCTGTAGCAACAACTCTCGTTTCCATCTTCATCTCTTCCTACATGATTTCCTGTCATGACTAATTACACTGTTTTCTTCTGCGACTCCTAAAGGGATTCTCTTCACAGCTCCCAGACCTCAGTGTTTTTTCCAGTTGTAAATTTGATGACACAACCTTTTTGTTTGGAAAACATCAGTGTTTTCCCAATGCAATAAGATTTAATCCAATCCCTTTACAATGGCCCCATTTAATCTGTCCCCTGACTGTGTTTCAAGATGGTTTCTCCTCCTCATACCAGTTCCCAATATTTTGACAACTTTCAACTTATTTTTGTCCTCTGGACAGACTGAGACTTATTCGTGTCTGGGAGATTTTGTATTTACTCTTCTCTCAGGCAAAATGCCCTTCCCCAAGATTTTTGCCTGTCTCCTTCTATGGCTACAGCACAGTGTCTTCCCACGCCAGACTCTTATATTCTATCCCTACACTGTGTTTAATTTTCTTTACAACATTTAGCATTTGTAGAAATTATGTTATTCATATGCAATATTTTATGATGTGGTAAGGGAGATCTGAGACAATAGGAACTGTATTTTGCTTGTTCACAATTGTAGTATCCAACACCTAGAGGAACATCTGGCAGAGATGGAGAGAGAGCCTTCAGATGCCTCCCATCTGATGCACTTGGATTCAGGTGGAATCTTTTTGCAAGTTTCCCTCATATCACCCCATCATCTTTTTCTCTCTCTTATATCTATATCATCTGTATCTAATTCTATATTTGTAGCATTCTTATTTTTTGTTCCCTTCCCTTCATTTCCTCCCTTCCTCCCTTCCTTCCTTCTTTTTCTCTCTCTTTCATTCTTCTATTAATTATCTATAACCATTCTCCAGAAATTCTTAAATGCAAATATTTAATCGTAGTATGAACTTAAATCAATAGGTTAACTCTTTCATAAGACCTTATTATTTTAATATTTTTTTTTCTAAAATAGAAAAAAGAAAAAACTTGACTAGAAAGGGGGCATGGATGAGGACACGCTCTGAAGCCCTGGAGCTACTTCATCGTCCAGTAACCTTCTTGGGCACGTGGGATGGTCTTAGATTAGAAGACAATTTATATCCATTTTACTCTCGAGACACTTATTTACTAACTGTTGATGCAAGTCTCAGGAACGCTAATTTCTCTTGGCAGCTTAATAAGGTGTTTTTGATTTGCATATTTAGAATTTGGATGACTGTATTTGAAATTACCATTGTATACTTATATGACTTTAGAAAAAAATGAAAGAAAATAAAAAACAGAAGACTATAATATAGCATTACATTTGATTCTATTCAGTTCCATTCATTTCTAATTTATTTGTGGAAAAAATAAATAGAAAAATCAAATATACATGTAATATCCAAACCTTCGACCATTCAATTAGGTGCATAATATTAACCACAAACGTTGCCAAAATTTTCTGAATCGAATAGCAACATATTCATAAGCCATAATCTTCTCATTAACAAGTCTGCTATTATGTAATACTCAGTTTCTCCCTAAGCATTCTCTTGGGGTTAATTATTGACTAATCTGAGTTTTATCTTCAAGTACCCCCCAAATTCTAGTAAATTAACAATAATCAGAGGATTTGGCAAGAGGATGGCAGCAGAAATAAATAAAAAATTAAAGTACATAGTTATAATATATCAACAGTTACCCCCTGGTTGCATGTAGCATGAATTTGGTATTGTGCCAGGCAGCCTCTAACGTGGCCTCACATGATTCCAACCCCCAGATATTCCCTCCATTATGCCATTGTTTTCCATTTAGTGACCTGCTTCTAATCAGTAGAACATGACAATGTTGAGGAGATGTCACTTCCTTAATCAGGTTATAGAAAATAATATCTTTCTTGATATTAGACTGTTTTTCTCACTCTTTTATTGTCTTTGATGAAGTAAGCTGCCATGTGGGAGAAGACCGGGTGATAGGAAAATGGCATAATTCCTCTGACCAGCAGGCAGTAAGGAACTGAGGCCGGTAACCAAATGGTCCCTGAAGAACTAAATCCTCCTGCCTGTCACGTGAACTGTGAGCTAGATCCTTCCTCAGTTAAAACTTCAGCCTCAGCCCTGGCTGACTCCTTGATTTCAGCCTCATGAAAGTCCATAAACTAGATACAGAGAGACCCACAGAAATCAGTTACAGATTTTGGACACACAGAAAATGTGAGATAAGAAATGTGTGATGTTTAAGACACTAAGGTCTGAGGTATTTTTTTATACAGCAATAGATAAATAATCCACCTATTTACATGCATACATAGAAATTGCATCCTAATAAAGAGGTAAGATAATATAGCCCACTTATCACAGACAGTTCGACTTTTCACTCTGTTATTTTATTCCTTTTTGAGTCCATCAGAAATGTCTTTAACAATAGAATTTTTCTCAGCCACTATGGAGACTAATTTGAATAAATCAATGATCAGATTTTCAGTTTTTTCATAGTTTTTATACAGTTAATTTGAGCACTTTTTAGCACTGCTCTTTTGGATAATAATAGCTTATATTACTAAGCCAGTGACAAAAATACTCACAACGGGAGGCTGAGGCAGGAGAATTCCTTGAACCAGGGAGTAGGAGGTTGCAGTGAGCTGAGATCGTGCCACTGCACTCCAGCCTGGCAACAGAGTGAGATTCCGTCTCAAAAAACAAACAAACACTCACAAGATAAAGTTTCTGCAGGCTTCAGTAAACACATTTATTTTTCTTTTTGGTCTAGGTTTGACATTACAGTTACTGTCTTTATAATCTTTTGTCATCACTCATTCCAATTTTTATTCCACTTTGTTTTTTGTTTGACAAAGATTGTTCTGAAATTTCCATCTAACAGATTTTTATTAAATATCTATACACCTATATGTATTATTCTGTAATATGTATTTTATATATTAATTAAAATATAACATCAGACCCGCTGTACCCAGTAAACTCCTGCACATCCAGCAAGAAACACCCAGTGCTCCTTCCTCACACTATACGACAAGGCCTTAAAGGGGTCCCTAAGCATTTCGTTAAAGGGAATGACCTCAAGTAGTTCAGCCTGTGCTCTTGGTGAAGAATATTCAACTGGTAAACATTTCTTTAGGAGAACCAATGATTTTTTACGAGCCATAGAGATATATGATCATCACAGATGGAATGCCATGTAATGTATGCCCACATCTGCTCCCTGTGAAGCAAACTGTTCTGTCATTTTATGAGTCAATTTTGTTTCTGAAATAGGTGAATGATAAAGATGGCTGGATTGCAAGAGTTTGATACAAAATGAAGTTTAACTCTATTGGAAGGAAAACAATTAAGCCAGTAGAGATTTATAATGCCACACATTGCTTATTTTTATAGCTTGACTTCATCATTTCAAATATACAGCTTTAAACATAAAAGATCAACCAAAACAGAGAAACTGTTACAAGGGTATCCAAGATCCTAAAAAAACATACCACTCTCTCCTGAATTATCTAGGACATTGCTTACATCTGAAAAATCATTTTATCTTTGATGATGTATCTCTAGGGTGCCTGCTTTAATGATAGTCAACTAAGGAATTCACTAATTTTATATTGTTATTATTTTAATGCACAATTCATTTTTATCAAAATGATTATAAATTATCAACATATAGTTGCTAATCTATTGTGTTGGTTTATGAAATTATATTTAAAGTGATGAATGGATCATTATAAAATATGCTGCTCATAGTAATAATACTTCCAAGAATATATCAAATAAAAAGTGTATATCATAACAGCATCAAGGATAGTGAAATTAATAAATTAGCAAAAAGTAGTAACAATTATTGACTATTTTGATGCAAAATCCATTAAGGTTGTCAAACTGGAGGAATGCATCTTACTGATGCTAATACTTCAGTGAGAACACATGAGTTAAATGATGGGGCAATAGAGAATAAAAATAAAATATGAAAGATAGAAGGATAAAAGGAACAGACTGACATGTAAATGTGTTAGGGTAGAAAAGTCAAAAGATATTTATTTAAATATTTAACAGTTTGAGATTAATTAATTTTAACTAATTCTACAGCATTGGGACAATCTCAGTGGCCCCAGTAGATTAAAAAGTGATACAATCTTTAGAGGAGTAAGTACATTGGTTAGCTGCTAAATATGTTAACATTTTTAATAGCAGATAATTTGGAAATAGTCTCTAATATTAAAATGGTCCATAAATGTGTATATTATAGAAATTTTATTTCTAACACACCCAAATATACATGTAAATAACATGAAGGAAACAGTTCTAAGATTGTGAGTCATATTTGAGGCTGAAACTGCAAATGAGTATAAAAAGAGATATTTTTAACTGTATGACGCTACATATAATAAACAATGATATCATGATTATATTTTAAGGACAATATAGGTAAAGATTATAACTTTTATGAGTTAATGTGGCTGGTTCGAACTAAAATAATCAGATATTGATTTGATACATTTGTTTCATATCCTTAAAGGAAATGTTCTCAGTATTGGGATACCACTCAATATTAAAAAAAAATTTTTTTGGGGGGGATTAAAGGGTTATTATATCTGTATAATATCCATATATATCTCTTTATCTCATTGTTTTAGTTATTGATGTGTCTCATTGATCACACGTTAAAGAAAGTTTTTTGGTAACATGTAAATATTTCAGCTAAGTAAAACCGTGTTTAATCATTATAAAAAATTAGTCATGTATCAAAGGGCCATGTGAAAAGAGAACAGTGTGTTTTAAGGAAAAGAAGCACTTTTCAAAAGGAAGAGTGTGGCATTTGATCTCAGGGTTCTGCAGTGGATGATGACTTCAACAAAACAACAAAGCAACATAAAGACCAAGGACCTAAAAGACCAAGAGCTCATACACAGGGCATGAGGTGCACAGAAAACCTGATAATATAGCTGCTGCATCATTTTGTGAATATGTCTAAAAGAAATTCCCATGTAAATACTATATTCGTTTTTGTTTCGTTTAATAGTAACCCAGTACTTTGTGAATGATCCCTGTGGGAAACACTAGTGTCTTTAGTCAAGAGCATTCATTGAGGAACAGACTGTTTTTGATAATGTTGCAAAAAGTCTTAAATTTTTTAATCTGATACTCAATTAAATGAAATAATAGAGGGTAAATTTGCCATCTAAATAAGCAAGCAAACCCTAGTCTAGTACTTTAATGGAAAATGAAGAATGTGTAGGGGGAGCATATGTGATTGCATTATTTCACAACAATATATTCTAAAAATAATTTCTATGATGCAGATATTATTCTACATAGCTCATAGTGGTGCTCAGTGGTGGAGCAGTGTTTGAAAATAGATATGTCTCTGAAATCTATGCTCTTTATACACCACAGTGTATAATTTACAGCATGTGAAATAATATGCTGAGTGTGTCAAGATAATTTATTGTATAATTTGACAGCTATACTTGTCATTTCTGCTCAGGTTCCATGTCTAACTCCTTAATGTAAAAAATTTGACATTCAGTAGGATTAACTAGATTTTAATAGCACCTCCTCAACCATAGTCAACTTAATGAAAAGTGGCAAGGTAGACCTAGCTGCCTGAAAGCAACCATTCTAATGTAATTTTATACGTACATTTCATAGTGTAGCAGCAGCCAGATGACAACAAATATGTTCACTTACTCACTGTGACTTCTCCAATATCATGGCATTACATACAAATTATAGTTTCTCTAGATATGTTACACCTTTATGTGCTTAGCACACAAAAATACATGCACTCCCGTCCCCCACAAAAACAAGATTAGAAAATGGGATGCATCTAAAACCCAACCCGAAATGAATTTAATATAACTCTTAAAAATTGCAAATAAATAAAAGTAATATGATTTTTCACAAAACCAGAATAAGACCTAAAACCAATTTTTTTCTTAACCTAAAGTGAATTAAAAATTATTTATACATATACCTAACGATAAATTGCCAAAAATTGAATTCAGAATTAATGTATGCTGTCATCAAAACAAATAAAAAATACATTTCTCTAAGCTATGAATGCTACTAGATACATTTTTTAATTAGAAGGCAGGTGTATTAGTCTGTTCTCATGCTACTGATAAAGATATACCTGAGAATTGGTAATTTATAAAGGAAAGAGGTTTAATTGACTCACAGTTCCACATGGCCGGAAAGGCCTCACAATCATGGTGGAAGGTGAATGAGGAGCAAAGTCACGTCTTACATGGTGGCAGGCAAGAGAGAGACTATGCAGTCAAACTCCCCTTTTTAAAACCATCAGATCTCATGAGACTTATTCACTATCACAAGAATAGCACCAGAAAGACTCGCCCCCATAATTTAATTACCTCCCAGTGGGTCCCTTCTACAACACGTGGGAATTATGGGAGCTACAATTCAAGGTAAGATTCAGGTAGGGATGCAGCCAAATCATATTATTCCACTCTGGCCCCTCCCAGATCTCATGTTCTCATATTTCAAAACCAATAATGCCTTCCCAACAGTCCCCCAAAGTCTTAACTCACTTCAACATTAACTCAAAAGTCCACAGTCCAGTCTCACCTATGATAAGGCAAGTCCCTTCCACCTATGAGCCTGTAAATTTAAAAGCAAGTGAGTTACTTCCTAGATACAAATGGTGGGGGTACAGGCATTAGGTAAATACACCCTTTCCAGATGGGATAAATGGGCCAAATTTGTGAGAGAGACATTTTAAGTGGAGTTTTAGCATGCTTGAAGAGTGCTATGGTTGCTCTTATCTATAGGCCAGACCTTACAGTGGAGACTGCAGTCAATGAATTGTGTAAGCTGAATGCAATGGGTATAATTGGATTCTGGGAAAGCAGTAGTGAAGTGGTGTCAGTCAGTCACCAAAGGCAGGGTAGGCATGTTTATCATAAAAGTCAGCACAGTCAGAGCAACAATGAGAATATGGGTGTACCTTGGAGATATTGTGGGTTTGGTTCCAGACCACCACAATAAAGCAAATATCACAATAAAGTGAGTCATACACACTTTTTTGTTTCCCAGTGAATATAAGTTATGTTTATAGTTTTCTGTAGTCTATTCCATCTGTCTACAATAGCATTATGTCTAAAAATGTACACACCTCAATTAAAAATACTTTATTGCTAAAAAAAAATGCTAACACTTATCTGAGCCATCAGTGAGTCATATCAGCAGGTCATAAGCTTTTTGCCATTGGAGAGTCTTGCCTTGAGGTTGATGGTTGCTAAATGATCAAGGTGGTGATTCCTGAAGATTGGGGTGTCTGTAGCAATTTCTTAAAATAAGACAATGATGAAATTTACCACGTCAATTGATTCTTCCTTTCATGAATGATTTCTCTGTAGTATGCAATGTTGTTAGATAGCGTTTTACCCACACTAGAACTTCTTTCAAAATTGGAGTCAGTCCTCTCATAACCTGCTGCTGCATTATCAATGACATGTATATAATTGTCTAAATCCTTTGTTTTCATTTCAACCATGTTCACAGTATCTTCACCAGTAGTAGGCTGCATCTCAAGAAACCATTTTCTTTATTCACTTATAAGAAGCAACTCCTCAACCACTAAATATTCATCATGAGATTGCAGCAATTCCATCCCATTTTTAGGCTCCACTTCTAATTCTAGTTTTCTTGCTACTTCCACCACATCTGCAGTTACTTCTTCCACTGTAGTTATTTCCAGATGCTTCCTGAACTCCTCAAAGTCATCTTTGAAGGTTGGAATCAACTTCTTCAAAACTCTTACTGATGTTGCTATTTTGACCCACTGTTATGAATCATGAATGTTCTCAATGGCATCTAATATGGTAAATCCTTTCCAGAAGGTTTTTAATTGATGTTGTCCAGATCCATCAGAGGAATATCTCTTTCATACATAACCTTATAAAATGTATTTCTTTAATAATAAAACTTGAAAGTCAAAATTACTTCTTGGTTCATGGGCTGCAAAATGGATGTTGTGTTAGCAGGCATGAAACTATCATTAATCATATTCTCCATCAGGGCTTCTGGGTAACCAAGTGCATTGCCAATGGGCAGTAATATTATGAAAGGAATATATATATATATACAAATATATATATATTTATATATATATACATATAAATATATATATAAATATATATATATATATATATATACATATAAATATATATATAAATATATATATATTTATATATATATACATATAAATATATATATAAATATATATATATTTATATATATATACATATAAATATATATATATTTATATATATATATTTATATGTGTATATATATATATTTATATATATATATTTATATGTGTATATATATATATATATTTGCTGGGCAATAGGTCTAAAAGTGGACTTAAGATATTTAGTAAACTATGCTCTAAACAGATGTGCTATCATCCAGGCTTTGCTGTGTCATTTACAGAGCACAGGCAGAATAGATTTAGCCTAATTCTTAAGGACCCCAGAATTTTCAGAATGGAAAATGAACATTGGCTTGCACTTAAAGTCACCAGCTGCATTACCCCTAACGAGAGGTCAGCAAGTCCTTTGGAAATTTGAAGGCAGTCATTGACATTTTCTCTCTAGCATGAAAGTCCTAGAGGACATCTTCCAATATAAGGCGTTTCATCTACATTGACTATTGTTTTGTGTAGTCACTTTAATCAGTGATCTTAGCTAGATCCTCTGAATAACTCGCTGCAGCTTCTCCATCAGCACTTGGCTGCAGCTTCTCCATCAGCACTTGCTGCTTCATGTTGCACTTTTATGTTACAGAGATGACTTATTTCCTTAAACCTCATTAATTAAATTATTTCAAACTCACTTCTGTAGCATCTTTATCTCTCTCAGGCTTCATACATTTAAAGAGAGGCAGGGTCTTTCTTCAGACTGGGCTTTGGCTTAAAGAAATTATGTGGCTGGTTTGATCTTCTATCTAGACCCCCTAATACTTTTCCATAATAGCAACAAGGCATTTTGCTTTCTTATCATTTGTGTGTTCACTGAAGTAGCACTTTTAATTTCCTTCCAGAACTTTTTCTTTGCATTCACAATTTAGCTAACCATGGTGCAAGAGATCTAGCTTTGGGCATGTCTTGGCTTTTGACATGTTTTCCTCATTAGGCTTAATAATTTCTGCCTTTTAATTTAAAGTGAGAGACATGTGACTCTTCCTTTCAGCTGAATAGTTAGAGACCTTTGCAAATCATCAATGGCCCTGTTTCAATATTGTTGTGTCTCAGTGAATAGAGACCCAAGGGAAAGGAAAAAGATGGTGGAATGGCAGGCTGGTGGAGCAGTCAGAGCGCAACATTTATCAAGTAAGTTTGCGTTTTGATATGGGTGCAGTACAGTGTTCCAAAAGAACTACAATAGTAACATCAAAGATCACTGACTGCAGATCACCATGACAGATATAATAACAAAAACATTTGAAATATTGCAAGAATTACCAAAATGAGACACAGAAATATTCATGTGAGCACACGTCAGTGGGCACACAATGTTAGAAAAATGGCACTAATAGACTTACGCAATATAGGGTTGTCACAAACCTGCAATTTTTAAAATATGTAGTATATGCAAAGTACACCAAAGCAAAGCACAGTCAAGCAAGGTATGCATGCATCTCTTTGAATCTTAGCAATCACAAGAAGCTGCATGTTTGGGTGGACCAGGAAGTGGTTGGGTGTGGGTAACAGAGGTGCACAGCTGCTACTGTACCAGTAGCACAGATATGATAAAAGAAAAAAAAAATCCAAAGTTCATCAAACTCAAAGATTGAAAGTAGATAAGCCCACAAAGATGAGAAGGAATCAGCACATGAACAGTAAAAACTCAAAATGCCACAGTGCCTTCTTTCCTCCAAAGGACCACATCACCTCTCCAAAAAAAAAAAAAAGGTTTTGAACCAGGCTGACATTGAACCCTCAGCCTTAGCCTGACTGATACGACTGATATGACAGGAATATAATTCATAATATGTTAAGAACGGAGTTCATTATGCTACAGGAGTACATTATTAAATCATAACAAGCCGTCTTTTGGACCACAGAGCAATCAAATTAGAAATCAAGACTAAGAAATTTGCCCAAGACCACACAATTACATGTAAACTGAATAACCTGCTCCTAAATGAATTTTGGGAAAGTAATAAAATTAAGGCAGAAAGCAAGGAGTTCTTTGAGACTAATGAGACCAAAGACAACATAACAGAATCTCTGGGACACAGCTAAGGCAGTGTTAATGGGGAAATTTATAGTAGTAAATGTCCACATCAAAAAGTTAGAAAGATTTCAAGTTCACAACCTAACATTACAACTAAAAGAACTGCAGAACCAAGAACAAAAAAATTTCGAATCTAGCAGAAGACAAGAAATAACCAATATTATAGCTGAGCTACAGGAGTTTGAGACACACAAAAAACATACAAAAGATCAACGAATCCAGGAGCTGGTTCTTTGAAAAAATTAATAAAATAGACTGCTAACTTGACTAATACAGAAGAAAAGAGAGAAGATTAAAATAAATCCAATCAGAATCAATAAGGGGGATATCACCACTGACACAACAGAAATATAACAACCATCAGAGAATATAATGAACACCTCTATGTGCGTAAACTAGAAAATCCAGAAGAAATGGATAAATTCCTGGACACATATTGTTCCAAGACTGAACCAAGAAGCAGTTGAATTCCTGAACAGACCACTAGTGAGCTCTGAAATTGAGGCAGTAATAAACAGCCAATCAAACAAAAAAAAAGCACAGAACCAGACAGATTGACAGCTGATTTCTACCTGATGTACGAAGAACAGCTGGTACTATTCCTCCTGAAACTATTCCAAATAGTTGAGGAGGAGGGACTCCTCCCTAACTCATTCTATGAGGCCAGCATCATCCTAATTCCAAAACCTGACAGAGAGACAAGAAAAGAAAAAAATCAGGCCATGCAAAAATCCCCAACAAAATAATGGCCAATTGAATCCAGCAGCACATCAAAAAGCTTATCTAGGATGATCAAGTAGCCTTTATCCGTGGGATTCAAGGTTGGAGAATGACCAGATTATTGTAAGCTTAACCAGATGTGTCTTAATTGCAGCTGCTGTACCAGATGTGGTTTCTTTGCTTGAACAAATTAACTTATCCTCTCATACCTGATGTGCAACTCTTGCTCTGAAAAATGTTTTTATTTCAATACCTGTTTGTAAAGACCACATTAGTAGTTTGCTTTAATCTGGCAATACTCCTTCACCATCTTACCTCAAGGATAAGTTGGCACATTAGCCTTGTGTCATAATTCAGTTCACATGGATCTTGATTTTCTTTCCCTTCCATGAGATTATCACATTTGTCTGTCACCTTAATAACATTATGCTGTTAGATCTAGTAAGCAATAAATAGCAATTACTCCAGAGTAATTGGAAGACATTTATATGTCAGAAGGTGGGAAATAAATATGACAAAATTTGAGGGGCTTCTACCTCTGTGAAATTTCCAGAGTTTCAGTGTGGCGTGCAGTCATGTCAAGATACCCCTTTTAAGGTGCAGAGTAAGTTGTTGTATCTTGCTCATTCTACACCTAAAAAGAGGCACAATACCTAGCAGGCCTCTGGATTTCACATGCAACACATTCATCATGTGGGTGTGTTATTCTGGTCCATTTACTAAGCAACCTAAAAAACTGCTAATTTTGAGTGGGTCCCAGAACAAGAGAAGGCTCTGCAACAGATCTAGACTGCTAAGCAAACTACTCTGCAGCTTTAGCTATGTGATTCATGCGATCCAGTGGTGCCTGAAGTATCAGTGGCTGATAAGGGTACTGTCTGAATACTTTGCCAGGCCTCTACAGATGAATCACAGTTAGTCCCTTAGGATTTTGGAGCAAAGGTCTGCCATTCTCCTCATATAACTATTCCTCTACTAAGAAACAGCTTTATACCTGCTACTTAGTAGAGACTGAAAATTTAACCATGGGCACCAAATTAATGTCATCACATGACCTGAGCATCTCATTATGAACTGGATATTATCTAAGCCATAAAGTTGGGTGTGCACAGCAGCACAACACTTAATCATCAACAGAAGTGGTATATATCTGATAAGGCCCATGCGTACCCTAAAAATACAAGTAAGTTGCATGAAAAAGTGTCCCAAGTCTCCATGGTCCCCACTCCTGCTACATTACCATAGTTTCATGGAGTTTTTGCTATGATCACCTGTCAGAAGAAGAGAAGATTAAGGCCTGGTTTATACATAGCTTTGCATATATGTAGGTACCACTCAGAAGCAGGCAGCTTATCACATTTGTCTATTACTTTAATAACATTATGCTGTTAGATCTAGTGAGCAATAAATAGCAATTACTCCAGTTATTGGAAGACATTAGTATGTCAGAAGGTGGGAAGTAAATATGACAAAAATTTAAGGCCCACTGTTTTTGAGTGATGCCTACATATACTCAAAACTATGTCTCTATGAGCGCTGTAGCCTCTTACTGAGACATCCCTGGAGGACAGTGGTGTGGAGAAATTCTCCTAGAAGGCAGAAATTTGTGCAGTGCATCTGGTTGTTCACTCTACTTGGAAGGAGCAATGACCACATGTTGACTACATACTGATTCATGGACTCTAGCCAGTGGTTTGGGTGGACGGCCAGGGACTTGGAAGGAACATAAATGGAAAATTAATGACAAGGAAATTTGTGAAAGAATTATGTGAATTGACTTATCTTAATAGACGAAAAACCCTGAACATATTTTTGATCAACATGCATGCTCAACAAAAGGTGTCCTCAGCAGAGGAGGATTATAATGAAGTAGATAGGATGACCCCCATCCTGTGGATACCAGTCAACCTACTTCACAAGTCACCCTTGTCATTACCCAATAGGCTCATGAACAAAGTGGCCATGGTAGCAGGGATAGAGGTTATGCATGGGCTCAGCAACATGGACTTCAATTCACCAAAGGCCACGTGGGTATGGTCACACTGCTGGGTGTCCAATCTGCCAGCAGCAGAAACCGATGCTGAGTGTCCAACATGCCCAATATGACATCATTCCCTGGGGTAATCAGCCAGCTACTTGTTGATAGGTTGATTACCATTTGACCACTTCAGTTATGGAAGGGAAGATATTTTGTTCTTATTGAAATAGCCACATACTTTGGATATGGATTTGCCTTCCCAGAAAACAGTGCTTCTGCCATGCCAAAGCTACTATCTGTGGACTTATTGAATGCCTTATCCACCATCGTATTCCATGTAGCAATGCTTCTAATCCACAAAGTTACTTCAAAGCAAAGGAAGTGTGGCAGTGAGCTTATAATCATTGAACTCAATGTTCTTACCATGCTCCCCACCATCCTGAAGGAGCTGGCTTGATAAGTCAGTGGAACAGGCTTTTGAAGACTCAAGTACAGAGGTATCTAGTTGTAAATACCTTGCAGGGCTGGGGCAAGATTTTCTATTTGGCTGTATGTGCTCTGAATTAGCATCCGATATACAGTGATATACAGTGCTATTTCTCCTGTAGCCAGGATTCATGGGTCCAGAACTCAAGGGTTAAAATGGGAGTGGCACCATTCGCCATTACCCTTAGTGACTCACTAGCAAGTTTTTGCTTCACATTCTCATGACCTTCTGCTATGCTGACCTAGAGATCTGAGTTTCACAGGGAGAAATGCCTCCACAAAGACTGACAGCAGTGATTCCATTAAACTGGAAGTTAAGACTGCCACCTGAATACCTTAGACTCTTCATAGCTCTGAAACATCTGGTAATGAAGAGAGTTACTGCACTAGTTGGCTTAATGCTGGCTACCAAGGGGAAATTAAACAGCTACTGTACAGTCAAAACTCCTGTACAAAGGAAGAGTATATTTAGAATACAGGAGATCATCCCTTATGGTGTCTTAATGTTACCATGCTCTGTGACTTAAGGTCAATGGAAACCTATAATAATGCAATATAGGCAGAACTACTAATGGCCCAGACCCTTTAGAAATGAAGTTTTAGGTTACTCAAACAATTAAAGAATCATCACCAGCTTTGGTACTTGCTTAGGAAAAAGGGTGTATGGAATGAGTAGTGAAAGAAGGGTTGTTATAAATACCAAATATGATTGTGAGGCCAATTACAGAAATAAGTGCTGTAATAGGCATGAGAATTTCCTACTTATTTGTTATGGATGTGTGTGTGTGTGTGTGTGTGTGTGTGTGTGTGAATTTATATATCAAGTATCTTTGTCCTCTTTTATTTCCTTGATATGTATCATAAAATATATTGACTTTATATAATGGTATTTAAATATTTTAAATTTTACATCGTATAGTCTTTAAGTTATGGGTTATCAAGGAAAAGAGTCAAGGCCACTCAAGAATTTTCAATCCCCTTCTGTGGAAGGGGTTAGTGCACTTATTATTGTATGCAGGATAGTTCCTTGATTTTAGGCAGACCTGTGACCTTGTTATTGTCTTTATTTGAAGATTAAGTGTGATTTAAACAGATATGGATGTGTTACCAGTGGAAGGCATCCAAGTTATGGGAGACAAATCCCTATGGGTCTACAGCAACCTCAATTCTTGCGTCCTCTAAAGAAAGAATTCAACTGAGGGGCATAAGGCAGAAAAAGAGACCAAGGCAAGTTTCAGAGCAGGCGTGGAAGTTTATTAAAAAGCTTTAGCACAGTAAGAAAAGAAAGGAAAGGAAAGAAAGGAGAAAGTAGGCTTGGAAGAAGGCCAGGTGGACTGCTTGAGAAACCAAATGCACCATTTAACCTTGATTCTAGGACTTTATAGTATGTCCCCTTCAGGCATCTTACCCCCCTTTTCCATGTTTCTTCCTTTAGGGTGGGCTGCCCACATGTGTAGTGCCCTCCCTACCCTTGGGAAGTGAGCATGTGTGGTGTGTTTAGGAAGTTGTGTATACGCCCATCTGAGGCTTTCTTTCCTTTTCCAGTGGAGTGCCTCTGGAAATGATACTCTGCCATTTTTGTCTCTTAATGTGCATGCGCAGGAATTTTCTTCTCCCTGGCATCTGCATTCAATTAACACTTTAGTGTTAATAGCTGTGGACCATTACAAATTGGTTTCTCCTTGGCACAAGCTGCCAATTTATCCCTTTTAGAAAGGTAATATGATCATTGCCAACCATCACCTGACATTTCTGGTGGGTGGGGGAGAGCCCTCTCCTGCCCTGCTCATGCCTGTCTACCTGTAACAGATGGGTGCCAAGTGGACAAGGGGTAGGCTTGCAATGGTTAATTTTATGTGTCAACTTGATTGGGCAGTAAGGTACTCACATATTTGGTTAAACTTTATTCCATATGTGTCTGAAAGGGTGTTTCTGGATGAGATACACATTTGAACCAGTAGACTCTAAAGCAGTTTGCCCTTCCCAGTGTGGTTGGGCCTCATCCAATTCACAGAAGACCTAAACTGAACAAAAGTAAGAGAGATTAGTTTTCTCTACCTGATGGTCTTTAATCTGATACAATGGTTTTTTTCATGCCTTTTGACTTGGACATAGACTGGAATTCTACCATTGTCTCTCCTGGGTCTTCAGTTTGCCTACTATAGATCTTGGGATTTCTCAGCATCCATGACCATGTAAGCCAAATCCTTATAGTAAATCTCTCTCTCTGTAGGAAATATATACATTTTCTATTGGTTCTATTCTCTGGAAAACCCAGACTAATACAATTGGGAAATAAGAAACAGCGGAACAAGGCACTGGGGAAAATAGTGTAGTTCTGTCTTAAATGGGCCAATGTTTTTTTCAAGTTTGATAGAAAGATATTTTCAGACATCCAAGAAGTCAGAAAATTTATAAGCCAAATACATTTCATTTTTTCTTTTCTGCAAGTCTTTAGAAGTAAGTAAAACCTGAACATTATTTTTGTTCAACATTTATTAAATGTTAGTCTATATTCTGTGGCATATTCAAGATTCCCTGTTGGCTTTAGGTTTATTGGCCTGACTTGTTCTGAATTCATGGATGTTCTCTGCTTTCTCCCTTCCTGTGTTTCAACTCCTCAATACCCAGTGGGACACTAGGTGTCAGGAGAGGAAACTTCAGCATGATTATAACACACTGGACTGGTTCCTAGTGCACAAGGCAACCATCACAATCCCCATGCTCCATGTTAGTCCTGATGAACACACACTCCAGCAGGCTCATCGGAACTCCTTTATTCCCTCTTGAGTGCCCAAGGAATACAACACCAATGAAGGACAAAACCCCAAATTTATACTTTCACTGTGGTTAATTCTAGGCTCAAGAGAGTGTCTTGGATTAGGAATTACCTGAACATGTGGTACTCATCCAATTTTCTTGGAGTCACTGAACTTTGGTTTGTCCCTCTATGAATCTGGGCTAAACATGCCCGCTCTGCCTATCTCAGGAAGTTCTTTTCACAATTATTGAATTCACAAGTGAGACTGTCCTTTGTAAGGAGCTCTAAAAGTTAAAGATTTCTTTTATCTGATGAAACATTTGTCAATCAAAAAATCTAAAAAAATTTAGTGGACTCTGATTCCTACGTTTAGACCTTTTCAATATAATGCTATGAATAAACTGAGGTTAATATAAAATAAAATTACAGTGTAAACTTATAAAATAATCTGATATAAAATTGCAGATAAGGATACAAAAGTGAGAAATGAAGCTTGAGATAAAGTACATTAAAGGTCCTCTATTTTGGAGAGAGGCTGTTATTTGGGGAGTACTGATACTGTCGCAAGTGTATATGTTAATACTAGTTACCTTAGTTAAAAATTTGATCTGGTAGATTCACAAAAAAATTGGATTTTCTTGTCATTAGGGTACAGAAAATAGAATAATACATATTTGTCAGTATAAAATAATATATTAATAATGAAACAATTTTTTAAAATTGAGAATTGCAGGAAATAGAAACATCTATTGTTCCTCCAGCTCACTATGTCACCTTCTCTCTCTGCCTTCCTAAGTAACCAGGGCCAAATGGTTTGGGCATAAGTTTTATCAAATCTTTGAGAACATAAATCCTAATGCTATTTATATTTAGAGACTGTTTCAGATCATAGAAATAGATATATGAGACTGAATTGATGTTACACAGCTGAATAAATGATAGAAGCCTAGACACAGATAAGGAAATAAAATCTGTGATCAGTTTCACCTGTGAAAATGTTCACGCAGGTCCAGGTAACTTATTAGCATACTAAATGTGACATTTCCACTACAAATGCTATCCAATGCATCATTTTGTCTAATAGCAAATATTAGTGATAAGTCAGATATTCTTAAGAGGGAAATAATTAACTAAAATAAAAACATCTCATAGTTACTTTTAAGAAAGATATATTTGCGCATGTCTAGAACATGTTTTGTTCTAGACAGAAAAAAATCATGGTACAAAGCAGTATATATGACATTATCCTCTTTCTGATAAACATAGCTGTGCACACGTTTGTGTATTATGCATCTGTGTTAAAAAAAATTCTAAAAATAGGCCATATGTGATGGTTAATCAGTGAATCAGGAATGCATATTTCTTTGAAATTATTTGAATTTCTCAGAAGTATGTATACATTTTTATTGTTGAATTTATAATTTTTCCTTAAGACTATCAGAGTAGTTATGGATTATAGAAATAGTATCAACATTACAGTTTCCTTTCTTTGGAGTAAATTTAAATGCTTAAAAAATTTTAAGCCTATTTATATGAAAATCTCTCTGAGGGTATAACATTATTTCTCACCCTGTGTAATCTAAGTTCTCATTGATAATGTTTCAGACTCTGGTCCAAGAGCTATAGTTGCTTAATGTTAATGTCCAACATCTTCATGGGTGTATTAATATCACCATTAAAAAATGAGCTAAAGCGTTTTGCTAAAATTTTACCAACAATAAATAGTGAAGCCAAGGTTTGTTCCAAGAACACTATGATTTCACAGCCTATGTTCTCAACCATGATATTAATTTAATAAACCTAAAATAAATATACCTAAAATAAATAATTTAAACCTAAAATTAAAATATATAGTATTTGATGAACATCTTACATTTTAACATTTTCTTAATAATTATCTAAATATTTAAACAGCCTAATTGATATACTTGGGGAAGTCTTAATATGCGTGAAATGATTATAGTGACCTTCACAGAATTATGTCATAAATATTAAAAGAAGAAATTCCCTTTAGCATTTTACTTAGCACACAATATATTTTGTTTACTTCATGAGATCCTTGGAAAGCCTTTTGCTGAGATTTTGCTACAGTTTGTGCTTTGACTTCAAAATTTAAAATGTTGTTAACCAAGATCCAAGGTTTCCTGAAGAACAAAATTGCTCTGAACATCACACATAAACTTTGTAATATACTGTGCTTCATTTCACCTAAGACCTTAGATTTCCTAGTAGCTGTTAATCCTCTTTGCTTGATAGAGAAAAGACTTTTGTAGATAATACAGCCATACCTTTACTTTGCCCTAGAGTGGTTTGGTTGTAATCTAGAGATTATTGATTATCTTTCCTCTTCTATATCCTCTATTTCCTCACAGGGCCTAGAATATAAAATGGAAGGAACATTCCCTGAATGTAAGGTTGGCACAAAAGAGAAGTTCCTGTTGAATAGGAAACTAGGTAACAGCAACATGTTTTATCTAAAAATAAATAGTTGTGATGAGTAATTATACGATTTCAATTATTACCCCCAAATAAACATGAGTTGTAAAATTTTGCATGGGCAAATATTTTTGGCAACAAATTAACAATGGGTAGTCAAATGATAAAGAGTTGTAACATCTTTTTGAGTTCTTTGCAACACGCCCAGCTTTGCCTACCCAGCCACAAATCTGGGTGCTTGAGGATCATGTGCACCTTCTTCCTGCTCTGTTCATAAGCCAGCATTAGTAAATCTTATCTAAGCAAACAAATTAAAAGTCTTACCTTGATATTTTTATTACATTTTTCATGAAATGAATGAACCTTAAGTGTTAGGGGCTCTCACATGTACAGATTCTTTCCCTTGTTAGCAGTGGCCTAGCCTATGTGTTTTGACAGTCATATGTTTCTACAACTTTGCAAAAATAAAATAATTTACCACATTGAATGAATGCCAGTGACTTGTTCCATGCAACTTTCTTCACTGTACTTTCCCTCATACCAGATACCTTTGGAGTGGCCACGTGTATTTGCTGATATCCAGGCAGGAGAAAGTGAGTCAGAGATACAGCCTGTAGTTTGGATTTCATAGGATGTAGTGATGTGCTTCACAGTCATTTCCACATGTAGTTAAGTTGTTTCTAGCTGTTCCAGTGTAGAAATGACTACTGGGAAACCTACCACCTTCCACTGTCAACTCACTTAGTATTGTGACAGAAAGAGGCAAGAGCATAGGTTGCTTTCAAACTTGAATGTGTCCTAAGGTGTGCATAACTGGAAACTTGTGGGTGGTGGGGGAGACGAAAGGACTTGAATACATGGAGCTGAAAACTAGTCTGTGGAAAATTCCTCCAAACTTCATTTAGGTACAATTGTACATGGAGAATTCTGTTGTCATTCACAACAAGTCAAAACAGAAGTTACTTCCCAAAAGCATATACTAAGTAATGTGCATATACAGTTATTAATGTGCCATAAATACAGGATTTCTAAGAATCTCTGTGTTTCTTTGGTACAAATCTGTAACAGTACTATAAACAGTAACGGAGGCCTTAGGCATAGCCACTGTCAATAATAATAAAAAATTAGGTGACACTAAGGAAAAGATTGAATATTCTGTACCCATTTCATGGAAAATATTATAACATTATTATATGAAGCTTTCATTTTCTAAATATGAAAACATTGAAATGTCCTCACTTTTTCATTTTTTTTTTGAAATTATTCCACTTTAATGTGAACACTCTGTCCCATCTTCAGCTCCATATATTCTCTTGTCCTTGCCAGGTTGAATTTTTTCCTAAGTGAAGGGGGGGTATAGATAAATGGCTTAAGCCAATCTAATGGAATGTTACAATGGGTCTCTCTCTTGTTTCTCATTTACATTGGAGCAGTGACAATAGGTGTCAACTCCTCCCAATTCCAGAATTAGAGGCTAAAGCATTATAAATGTTACAGACTTTCTATAAATAAATTTGTGACACTTACTAATTGTATTAGTAATCCTTCTCCAGAGAAATAGAACTAATAAGATCTATCTATCTATCTATCTATCTATCTATCTATCTATCTATCTTCCATCCTCCCTCCCTCCCAAAACCAAGTAGGAGATTTATATGTATACAAAATGAGATATAAAATGAAGAATTAGCTCACACAATTATGACGGCTGACAAGTCCCAGGATAAGGTGTCTGCAAGCTGGAGACCCAGAAAGCCAGTGGTATAATTCAGTGCAAGTGTGAGGGCCTAAGAGCCAGAGGAGTCAATGGTGTAAATCCCAGTCCAAGGGCCTGAGAAGATGAAATGAGATGTCCCAGCCCAAATAGTCATGCAGGAAGGAAAAAAGAGGTGAATGCTGTCTTCCTCTGCCTTTCGTTCTATTCAGACCCTTGACAGATTGGATGATGCCCACTCACACTGGGGAGGGCCATCTGCTTTACTGAGACCTCCAATTCAAATGTTAATTGCATCCTGAAACATGCTTGCAGTCACACCCAGAAATAATATTTCATATGGACACCCTATGGCTAGTCAAGTTGGCATGTAAAATTAACTGTCACACTAATTAACCATTTTTAGACAATGCAAGTAAAGGTAGGGATTCAGCCATCAAGGGCAGAAATTAAGAAGAAATGCCTTTGGTGAATGCTATTGGAGTATTACAGCACTTTTCCAATGTAGCTTCTGAGAGGGTAGGAAGGGAATTCTTAGCCCTTCCCTCTATTAAAGCTAGAGAGTTTTTAAGGGCTAACAAAGACATAATAAATATGTCCTAAAAAGCTTAGAAAGAACCAATTTCTGTTGTAACCCATACTGAGAAAATTTTAAAGGGAAAGACTGTGGCTGTCGCTCTCTCTTTGGTGGAAAGTAAAAAGAGTGGGATATATTGGAAGGCAGAGCACTGCCCCTGAAGGCACAACAGTGTGCATAGTTCCTTGCAGTTCACTGTGGGTCACATAGGGAAGAAGCCATCATGTGTGTGGTTGTAAAAGATATATCATCCAAAAGATTGTCCTTCCAGGGATGAAATGACATTAACAGAAAAAAGCTGTTGCTGTTTTGTTGGACGAAATTCAACCTCATATGCAGCTTGTCATAGAGAAAGCACTCTCTGAGACAAAGAAGCTACAACAGAGGTTAACAGAGGGGACATCTACAAGGAGTCCATAAAATGCTCCCTAAAGAAGACCAACATGAGCACAAATGACAGATCATGACTGTTCGTGACAAGAAAAGTCTGTGCTGTGCTGCCTATGACTTTTCCCTACCCCTACTCCTGCACCTTACAGGATCCAAGGCTGCAGGTCTCCTAAATTCAACTTAGAATAAAAGAAAGAGATCCCTAATACATCCTTCTGATTCCAGCCCAATGTAGGTTTTTCAGCCTACTGCCTCCCGCAGCTAACAAAGTTAAAAGTCTTTACTGCAAAAAAAAAAAAAAAAAAAAAAAAATTCAAAATCAGATTTAAATGGACTGGAGCCTCATTGTTACAGACATAAACTAAAAGATATCAAGAGGGCTGGATCAGAAATTTGGAAGCAAAGTGTTTTGTCTAGCAATAGTCACTAAAGTCAAGGAACCCATAGATGGAACAAAGAACCTTATTGCTCTTATCACCTTTCTCCCTATCTCCTGGTCAAAAAATAAATAAATAAACATTGGAGTATTACAAAAGACAAATTGTTTATATCAACATTAGCCCGTTGGACCTCAAGAACATTTGGGAAGAAGATATAGTACAGAACTAAAGGGGTGCAATAAAGGAAGAGAAGATGGTAGAACAAATATGCGTTGCTCATTAGAATCTGGTGGAGGAATTTAAGTAAATGAACTCATTTTCGTAGGACACATTCAGAATAAGAGATGAAGCCCTCAGCTGGACTGCTCAGATGCATACTTCTTAGTTCCCCTTGTCATCCTCTGGATCCCCAACATCCTTTCTCTTATTTTAGAGAGAGTGATCCTGTCTAAAATAGCTGTTTTTGACACTTGGACCTTTTTGTTCTAGTATTCACAGAGCTTTTTTAAATATTAGAACAGCATAACTTTATTTGAAGAATTAATGTCAGAGGTAAAAAGAAATTCATGTTTCACAGGAATGGCTGTCACTGAATGTATAGCAGAAGTTGGTGTATAAATACACCAGCTCCCCCACCCCTTGAGCGGGATAACTCTGTGGCCCAGGCTCTATATTAGATCCCAGAGTCTCCCAGTGGATCCAACTCCTTTTGATAATTATGCTAAATGGCTGGATAATGTACTTGTTTTTTTGGCTGCCTTCCATCACCTATCTCTTGTCCTTACTCCTGTATATTATTTTCTGAGATAACACTTCAAAAAGATCTATGTTGCTTAAATGCCAAGGTATACAGGGATCTAAAACTAAGAATCTGATTTGGACTAAGTCCCTTTTAAGTATTATTGCCAGAAAGTAACATTATTCTATTAATATATATATACTTTATATATTTACATATATGTGTCTATATAAACATATATTTGTATGTATACACCTAGAGTTCACGTGGCTAGAGATTAGCTGTAGACCATGTTCCTTGCAGAAAACTTTCTATCTGTAGGAGATTAATTCAAATTTATATGTGTTCTTTTGTAAACAAAAATAAAGCCTGCCATGACGAGTGACTATACAACAGTCAGCTCCTCTACCATCAGAGGGTAAACAATGACTTCCCTGCTTCTTCATTCCATCCAGATATGTCACTTGATTGGAATGAGTTATTTCTAAGAGCCACAGCAAATGTGCAATTTAACAAGGGTCATCTGATCACCAAAAAATCAGGCTGCATTTTCCCATAGAAATGCTATAGAAGAAATGAAAGTGACTACTAGAGACTGTTGGGGAAATTTTGTTTTAAGACAGACTCAAATTCAGTTCAAGAAAAGAGCAGGAGCATCTGATTCCATGGTAAATACTCACCTTAGAAAAGTAGGGTATAGTTAATGTAATTACCAATTTGTCGTTGGCATCTCCTCAACTGTTTACTCCAATCTGGACAATAACAAAGCAACATGCAGTGTCATGGTATGATTGACCTACCATATTTTCCCCCTGACTTAAGTTTGGGGTGGGGTGGGGGGCACAAAATGGAAAATTATCTCAATAGTTTAGGGGAAGAAGAATTTAAGATGGACCAAAGTTTTCTTGTTTCTACCTGGATTTTGGGGTTACTAGCCTATGGGTTAATTGCTACAATCCTACCAGTACCTTCAATAGGAGTAACTAGGAGCTGTTGAGGCTGGGGCGAGTATTTCATACTCTGTTCAGCAGTCGATAAGAGTTTACTTGTATAACGCACTTGCACATGTAACCCTGAGCTTAAAATAATAAAAAGAAAAAAGAGTTTGAGGTCAGGTATGGTGGTTCATACATGAAATCCCAGCACTTTGGGAGGCCGAGGTGGGCAGATCACCTGAAGTCAGGAGTTCGAGACTAGCCTGGCCAACATAGTGAAACCCCAACTCTACTAAAAAAATACAAAAATTAGCCAGGCGTGGTGGTGTGTGCCTGTAATCTCAGCTACTCGGGAGACTGAGGCAGGGAGAATCACTTGAACTCAGGAGGAGGAGGTTGCAGTGAGCCGAGATCACTCCATTTTACTCGAGGCTGGGTGACAGAGTGATACTTTGTCTCAGAAAAGAAGAAAGAAAGAAAGAAAGAGTTTGAAAACAACTGCCCTATGCTCCTGGAAGACAGACAAGGATTGTCAAAGTAACCTACAGGAGACAATTAAGAAACTGGTCAATTGATTCCAGCAATGTAGAAAAAATATTATTGCAATGGGAATTAAGAGCCACCAGGGTTGTAAAGTGAGTTACTTGATAACAGCAAGGCATGTTAATGCACATATTCTCTTCTAACGACTACAAGATACAGTTAAGCTTTACTAGCTCATCAGGCCACCATGGCCCTCTAACTTAACTCCAAAGCAAGGATAATCACTGAGACAAAAGTGACTAATGAAGATGTCAGGAAATATGCACATATATGTGTACATGTATATGTGTGTATGTGTGTGTGTGCGTGCGTATTTTCATCCCAAAACCACCCAACACAAATGCTATGGCTGTTGGTACTGCTAAAAAAACAAAACAAATAGTCAAGCTTCTTTACAGCCAGAAAGGCCAGTTCATTGCAAAGGGCGAAGGGCATATGTCCATAGAGCCAGTGGCTTTATCCAACCCTGCTGCTTAGTGAGAGACTTGCCCCTAGCCAAAACCATGAAGAGGCTGCTTATTTCTTAGGCTAAAACATTCTGATTATATACAGCTGGCAGTAAGATGATGTATATTTCAGTAGAGCTTCATAATTTTGCTCACTTTCCGTATGGAAAATGAAGAGAAAATAAATATTTGGCATTTACAACTACAAATCAGATCATGTAAGTTTGTTGTATGTGCTACAAGGATCAATCCATTAACAGCTTATGAAATCAATTTTATGCTTAATCATCAGCATTTTCTTACTTAGATTAAAAAATTAAATATACTTTTCTGAAACTTTATTAATTTTCTATATGTGTATGTTTGTGTATGTACAGTCTGAGACAAAAGTGGGTAGCACTCAAAAATTGTTGTAAGCTGTTGATCTCAGCTGCTTAAATACCAAAAATTTTAAAGGAATTTCTTTAAGTAGCATTTTATTTTTCTTCAATATCTGTAATTATAGTATAAATATTTTCTTATCACAGGCCTAGCCCGTGAAACAATGATAAAAGTCACTGAAGCCTGTTAACTCCAATTGAATCAGGGGTCAGAGAATAGAGTGTGTAAGAAAAATGTGAATAAATTCACAAGAGTGGGAAAAGACTGAGGCATTTATTACCTTACCTGTTTGGGGAAAATTAAGTGAAAAGCTACAATACACTTCAAATTTAGTTCTTTAGTACCACTTATTTTCACCTGAGGAAACTGGAAGCATTTTAATTGATAATTTGTTTCTTCTCTAGATATTAGCTGACTCTCATGAAGTAATAATCTTTTGCTGCTTCTAAGAATGTTTAAGATTGGTTTCAGTACTGTAAGTCTCAAGATCACACACTGATTCATAAATTCATTAGAGGCGTGTATTACATTGAGATGTCTTGAAAATACTGAGTAGTCAAGAGGAAAAATAACATTGAGGCAAAACTCCAGGTTAGATACCGTTGTATTATGAGATCTCCAAATGGTAGCAATAACAGACCGTCTAACTGTAGGATATTTTCTCAAGTTTGTAAATCGCTTGATAGTACGGTATATTTTTCTTTGCTTAATTAATTGATTCAATGAATATTTATTGAGAACCTACATGATGCCAGGCATGTATCCCTAGATACTATAAAATCTAGGGATTCAGGCATAAGCAAGCATCATTCCCACTCTGACGGTACTCTTGGACTTAGGAATGCAGATATGAAAACATGTACTTTCAATGTTGTGTACTGTGCACACGAGCAATGAACAGAAATGGCCAAATTTTGGTCACTACAGAAGAGTGGTCAGGAAAGAAACAAAACAAAACATATAGTTTATGTGACTAGGGCAAATAGTAAAATTGTTAACAAGGAAAGAGAGAGACAAAGGAAAATCAGTGGTTGATGATATTGGAAGAAAGGTTTGAATCAAATCATATAGGATACTGACTACTGTCTTAATACATTTGGACTTCTTCCAGAAGAAACTGGGGAGCAGTTAATAGCTTGAAACAGAGAAATTATTTAATCAAATTTCAATTCAGAAAGTCTACTTGGGCTATAATCTGAAGAATGGAGTAAGGAGGGTAATACTTAGCATTAGGGAAATCTGTTGATATGCCGTTGTAGAAATTTCAGTGTGAAATTATCAACTATGACATAGGCAATGGTAATGAAAAAAATTGTTGAATAATTCCATATATTATAAGGTGAGTATATGGACCAATATTCATAACTTTGATGTTAGCAAGGAGAGTTTTTTTTAAAAAAAGTCTAATGATTTTAGCTTGGATGACTGACAATGATGTCTCATTTATAATTAAGATTGCAGAAAAATAAAATAGGTAGTGTATTTCTAGGTTAAAAAAAAAGCTTAACTTTTCGAGTCAGTGGTGGGGATGTCCAGTAATCAGTTTGCAATATGAGCACAGGATGACAAGAATATACGTTTAGAAATGAAGCAATGAGGATTATTGATATTTAAAGAATTAGTGGAAGAAGAGTTCAAGCTAGGAAATGTCAAAAGTGGTTAGAGAATTGTGAATGAAAAATCAGAAAAGAATAACAGCATGAACGTCAATTCCATATACTGTTATTCCCCAAACTGCGGGATTTTAAAAAATCCCTGATAACCCCAGGATGTAAAACAGCAGTTCTTAAGAAATATACACAGAAAAAATACAAGAACTAACCTGGAACTCTTTTATCCTTAAATGTATGCATAGGCAGGAAATGAATCCTGGAGAAGAGTTGTATTATCAGTTACTGATGAATGTGGCGGGGAGAATTAGCATCAGGGAAGCCTAACATTTGATGTTAATTTTTCCAATGCACTTTTGCATATGCATATCTGTAAATGTGTTATTAATAATTTAATGTTTGTTTTATTTATGCAATTTTTATGTTTTATACATACAAGTTAATTTTTATGTTTTTATATTTGTTCCAGTTGGCAAACTATGTGCCGTATCCAGCTTTAACAATATTCCAGGCAGCTCAACATAGGGAGGTTGGCCAGCTTCATAGTTGCTTGGAGGCCTACTTTTATTCCAATGTGCCCCACACTTTGGAGCATTCCAATAATCATTCTCTGTTTTCAACATTTTTAAACAATTCAGTTATGAATTTTATCAGAGTAAACAAGTGTGAAATGAATTTTCTATCACAGTTTAGGAATTCCAAGAGAGTGCATAGATCAGTAGCATTGAAAGGCATTGGTGCTTCATGCTAAACTGCTTCTTTTTATTTAAGTAGACAAATTCCTTTGAGCACTATTTTGAAATCCCAAGGAAAGCAGTAGCTATAATTTTGGAGCAATATATCTCCCCTTCTCTAAGTACATTTCTCTCTTATAATAGTCTGGGCTATTTAAAATCATTCCCTGTATTTTATGATTATAATTAGCTATTATATCATTTCTATTTATATAAATAGAAGACCATAATTATATTCATCAAACAATGAACACTGTTAAATTCAGTACTAATTTTGAAAAGTTTTTAATTGTTTAATGTTTGTAATACCTTATTTGGATAATTGATTTAAAGATATGTCATATTACTTCATTAATTTTTAAAATATTGAAACATGAAAAATTAAATATAACAAGCGGGTAAATATCTGTGAATATTTTTCATTCTGTCAAATTGCAGATTAGGTCCATTCTTGAAGAATACAAAAGTGGCCTACACCTTTCAATGCTAACATTTAACAAGATTATCAAATCGCATATTCTCATAACTCACACCCTGATTATTTTACACATATACACTCACATTTAACATCATAACTATTATTTGTTGATTCAGTGGATTTGAATTCAAATAGTTTGTGTGAAGAAAACTACAAAAACACCAGATTTTGTTTTTTTTCCTCCTTTTGTTTATTCAAAGACACTTGAAATAAGTTTTGGGCCTTTGATATAAGAAATCATTCTTTAAAACAAAGCTTTGTGTAAATTTTTATTTTTAATTGACAAGCAATAATTGGCTACATTTATCGGATACAATGTGATGTTTTGTTATATATATGTATACATTGTGTAATTATCATATCAACCTAATTCACTTATCCATCACCTTACATACTTGCCATTTTTTTCCCAGTGAGAACATTCAAATTTGATTTTTTGAATAGTTTTGAAAATAAATTTCAAATTGTAAAGAATTATACAAGAGGAATAATTCTTTTTAAGGTCATAGTGAGGATGGGTTGATTTGTTA
This sequence comes from Homo sapiens, assembly GCF_000001405.40. NCBI lineage: Eukaryota > Metazoa > Chordata > Mammalia > Primates > Hominidae > Homo > Homo sapiens. The sequence continues at coordinate 13,973,606 of NC_000008.11, forward strand.
CCAGATAATTGCTTGAGGTGGCCCAGCCAGACTATTTTTCCCTCTGCTTGGCTGAGGCATTATAAAATGTATGATGATAATAAATAGAACTGAAGGTAAATGCCCAGTTGTTTTCTGTCATTGTACAATATAGGCCTCTTCCCCATGGTGCAGTATTTCCTTTGGTCTCTGGAAGACAAAGAGAATTGCTGCAAAACTCTGCAGAAAGACAGCAATTTTTTTTAATTTTTTAATTTTTTAATTTTTATTTTTTACCAGTCCAATTAAACTGCTACTTCCTGGCAGGAAAAACACTGTGTCGCGAAAAATCCAATAGTTTTAAGGCGTACCTTCTGCCAAAGGATTCTGTAGATGAAGCTTGAATACACTCTGATGTGTTTCCTCAGCTCTCATGTAGCAACATACAGCTATTCCCTGAGTATTTGCTACTTTTTAATTGCTTCTTGCCCATTTATATCTTGTTCCTAAAATAAGATTTTCAAACTCAAGGAAGATCGCAAAGTCTTATTTTCTCTCTGCTGTAATTATAGATGAAAATCTCCTCATGATACAGGTTTATGATGTGGACAGTGGTTGTGTTGTTGGTCAATTGAAATTTTAAACTTGTGTGGCTTAAATGTTCAGCAGTTAAAGCTATTTTATTTCCCTAATATTTTCTTTTCAATGGCGAATGTGTAAGAATACTGAACATAATCTTTCCTAACTTCCCAAAATGAAAACCAACACACCATAATACAAAAGTAAGAGAAATCTGAGGAGGGATTAGGAAAGAAAGCTTAAATAATTACTTAAAAAACCATGTTCAGTTTAAGGAAACCAGCATATTTTCCCATTCTGTTCACCAACAGTTTCCTCATGAAAGATAATGACTAAAAAAGAAATTCAAGTGGCATGAAAGATGAAAAGGCTATCTAACACCTCAGAAACCAGAGCTTGACATAAAGCTGGAAAGCTATGTCTTGTGTAACTTATTTTTTGAGGTGTCTCAAGTAGTGATATTTTTGTTGCCCAAACACTGTCTTTGCAGAACTACCAGAAAATAATGAACAAGAAAGTTGTGTATACTTACATGCCATCTGACGACTGGGGTGGATATACGTGGCATTTTTTTTGCTTCATGGGAGAAATAATCCCAACAAAAAAGCGTCTGTTGTTAGGGTGGGGAGAAGAAACCTGGTAACAGTGTGTACCAGGAATCATTGCTTTTTATGTGATTTTAAAAATTAGAGTATCAGCAAATTAGGAGCATGTTACAGGCAGAACTTTTTTCTCCCACATAACTTGTATGCTGAAGCCCTAATCCCCAATGTGACTGTATTTAGAGATTGGACTTTAGGGAAGTAATTAAGATCAAATTCAGTTGTAAGAGTGTACCAATGTCTTTAAAAGAAGAGGAAGAGGCATTAGAGATCTCTGTGTGTGTGTGCATGCACAGAGACGAGGCCACGGGAGGTCACGATGAGAAGGCAGGCATCTACAAGTCAGGAAGAAAGCTTAACCAGAAAACAACTTTAATGGCACCCTGAGGGCCGTCTGGTCTCCAGAACTGTGAGAAAATAAATTTCTGCTCCTTAAGCCACCCAGTCTGTGGTATTTTATTATGGTAGATAGAACAAACAGAGAGGATAAGGAAATATATTTCCTTTTTAAAGAAGAACAACATGGTTTGAGAACCTGCCACCTACTGAGAATTAGCTGTGCACTGAATCCCAGGTGTAGATCAATGACACTTACTTAAAGATTTCAATATAAGATGGAAAATAGGGAAAAGGAAGCCCACCAAAGTGCGCAATGCCAAGCACAGAATTTGGCTCATCTTATTTAAGAGGAAAAAAGAAACCATAAGATTGATAAAAAAGCTATTTATAAAAATATGTTAATATTACATGAACTTCACAGAATGTACCTCTTCAAATAAGTGCTGCAGCATTCAGAAAAAAAATGTTAGAAATACCTATGGAATTCTTAATACAATGTTGAAAAATATAGTGCCTCTGGGAAAACAGAGAGGAACAATGAAGATATACATAAAAATAATCAGATAAAATGAGAAAGAAATTTAGATACATTTAACATGTGATGCCAGAAATAAAGTCAACAAATTGATGTACTTGATGTTCTAAAAAACTGAACCAGTGTTACACAAAACAAGTTCAGGAAGTTATTCCAGAGGGTAGAGATAAAAGAAAAATACATAAATAGAATGAAAGTGAAAATAATAACTATAAAAGACAAAGTACAGAAAAAGATAGGGTATAAATAAATGAAATAATTATCTTTTAACTTAAGAATATGTTATAGACCAGCCTGGGCAACATGGCAAAACCCATCTCTACCAAAAAAAAAAAAAAATTACAAAAATTAGCCGGCATGGTGGCATGCACCTGTAGTTCTAGCTACTTGGGAGGTTGAGGTGGGAGGATCACTTGAGCCTGGGAGGCAGAGGTTGCAGTGAGTCAAGATCACACCACTGCACTCCAGCCTGGGCAATAGTGCAAGACGGTGTCTCAAAGAAAAAAAAAAGGTTATTAAATGATGGGAAACTAACAGAATGGCTAAGCCATTACAAAAAGGTGTTTTGTCTTTACTGTAATATGAACCAGATAAATTCAATGACAATAAACATATAATGAAGATTATTGCTATAATTCCAATTATAGAACTCAGAGACATCTATTTCTGAGAACATAGACTAAGTGTATTTTAAAATTATTCCTGCTAAAAACAATTAAAAACCATGGACCTTATGCATAAAAGAAGCATAAGAAACCTGTGATACATAGAGAAAAGAGGGCAGACTGACTGGACATCTTGGCTTTTCTTTTGCCTCATATATTGGAGGAACCAACAACTCAAAACAGCAACAGGTTCAGACGAAACAAAAGCAAACAACTCCAAGAAAAGCGTCTCCTCTTTCTATCCAAAAGACCAGAAAAGATAAAATCTAGGAGAATGAAAAACTTTTAGGCAATAAGCACTCTAGCCATACAGAAAAAATGGTGACCCTATTCTCATCTCTACCAGAAAAGATTGAATGGGGAGGCTAGACTTCTACTCTTACCAAGCTGTAATGAGGTGCCGCAACTCCTCTATCAAAGAGGCATCAGAGAAAGTGAAGTTGGGGTGGAGATTTTCATGCCTGCCAGGTGGTACAGACCCTTCACTCCCACTCTGTAGTGTTAGTGGAGACCATCTGGGAATGCTGGGCTTGTACATCGAGCTAGTGATAATGAGGCATCTCTTCACCTTGAGCTGGGGTAGTGTCAGAGGAAACTTAGTGAAAAGTTAGGCTTCCCACCACAGCTCAACTGTAACAAAGCCACCTTCTCCCACCAAGTTGGTGGAGGCCAGGTGGAGACAGTAATGAGTCACCCCTTCTCCTCACAGCAAGGTGGTGTCTGCCAAGGTGGAATTTATAGCCACTTAACTGTAACCACCCCTCACCCCTATCCCCAAGGTGTTGATAGAGGCCAATTGTATCCCCATCACTTAGCAGTAATGTCTAATGTTGTATTAAGGTGTTGCTAGGCCCTTGCTTCCAATGATACTCTGGGTAGAATCTTTCCTTGCCTCTTCTTTGCTGGGTGGTGGCTGTTAAAACTTGATGTTCCTTGGCTTGCAGCAGCACTACTTCATGACAATTTCTCATTAGAAATGGATCAGAAGAAGGTGGGCTGAGCACAGTAGTGTGTGCCTATAATCCCAGCTACCCCAGAGAGTGAGGCAGGAGGATAGCTTGAGGCCAGGAGGTGAAGGCCAGTTCTGGCTAGAGCCCCATTTCAAAAAAATAAATAAATAAATAAAACACAAGAAAAAGGGAGAGAAAAAATGAGAAAGAGGTTGGAAGAAAGTGGCTGAAAGAAAAAATAAGAAAGGTTGGAAGAAAGTGGCTGAAAGCAAAGAACTCTCAACCCATTTTCTGAATGTAGAATTCTATATTCAGAAAATATTCTTCAAGAATAAGGGAAAATGGTGGCATATTGTGATAAAAACTAAGAGAATTTGTCACGATGAGGGATATTATAAATGAACAGCTAAAGAAAGTTCCTTAAACAGAAATGAAAATGATAAATTATGGAATCCTGGAACATCAGAAAATAATAAAAATTAAAGAAACAATAAAATACAATAAGAACTACAATAGAAGTAAATACAGTAGAATTTCCTTGTCATGTTTTCTAAATTATGTTTAATGGTTGAAGCAAAAATTGAAACATTGTATAATGTGGTTTTCAATTTGTATAGAGAAAATACTTAAGACAATTATAAATGAGAGAGGGTGAAAAAAGGTAAGGTTCTATACACATCTTGAACCAGTAAAATGTCGACACATGTAGACTTTGCAAAGTTATGTGTTTATAACCTAATGCGTAGAGCAACCAGTTAAAAAAATCTAAACAAAAAGATAGACTGAAAAATACTGTAGTTAATCAGACTAGAAATTTAAAATATATTTACGCAACCTGTAGGAAACAGGGAAATGAAAACAGAACAATTAAAAAATTAAAACAGAAAATAAAACACACTTAAACCATAGCATATCAATAGTTATATTGAATGCAATTGATCTAAATATGCACAGTAAAACACAGAAAATTACAAGTGGACCTAAAAAATGACCCAAACATATATTGTCTATAAGAAACTCACTTCATATATAATGATACTTATATTTGTTCATTTTCATGCTGCTGATAAAGATACCCAAAACTGGAAAGAAAAAGAGGTTTAATGGACTTACAGTTCCACATGGCTGGGGAGGCCTCACAATCATAGCAGAAGGCAAGGAGGAGCAAGTCACATCTTACATGGATGGCAGCAAGCAAAGAGAGCTTGTGCAGGGAAACTCCCCTTTTTAAAACCATCAGATCTCATGGGACCCATTTGCTACCATGAGAGCAGCACAGGCAAGACCTGCCCCCACGATTCAACCACCTCCCACTGGGTCCCTCCCCCTCCCACAACATGTGGGAATTCAAGATGAGATTTGGGTGGGGACACAGCCAAACCACATCAACACTTGTAGGTTGACAGTTTAAAAGCAAATAAACAAACACACATCAAAACAGCTAACAAAAGTGACAATATCAATCATTGGCAAAGTGCAGAGATACTGAATCTTTTATTTATTGCAGGAGGGATGTAAAATTGTACAACTACTCTGAATAATAGTATAGCCATTTCTTTTAAAAACTAAATTATGTACTTACCATGCAACACATCAGTTCAACTCCTGGATATTTATCCAAAAGAAAGAAAAACCTATGACCACAAGAAAACCTGTACATAATTGCTCAAAGCATCTTCATTTGTAATAGGCAAGAACTGAAAACAACCAAAATGTCCTTCAATATGTAAATGGTTAAATAAACTGTGTTGTATTTGTAGCATAGAATATTACCCAGCAATGAAAAGGAATAGATTATTAATACATACAACAACTTGGATGAAACTCAAAGGCATTAGAATGAGTGAAAGAAAATTTCAAACAGTCTCCTACCATATAATAGTAATCATATAACATTCATGAAATGACAAGGTCATAGAAATGGAGAACAAATTAGTGGTTGGCAGTGATTAAGGATAACTGGGAGGGGAGTGAGTGTGAGTTTAAAGCAATTCTCAAGGAACATCTTTGTGATGATATAATTATGTGTATCTTAATTACAGTAGGTGGACACAGGGATGCTTTCATGTGACAAATAAAACAGCTATATGCACACATTATGCCAAAAGAAAAAAAGCCAAAACCTTAAGTACTATGGCGTATTTTTTCTTTAAGCACAACTTCATTGTTTTGGTAGGACTACATTTCATTGTAACTGTTCAAAACTTAGCATCTCAGCTGAATTTTCTAACATGGTATAAAAATAAAAAAATATAAAAACCTTAAAGAAACCTGAATGTGAATATAAAAGAGGACAAACTTATTCTAGAGAGAGATGATATATGATGTTAGTTTAGCAATTTAAATTCCTAAACAATTTAAAGCTGGGTTTAAAATTTCCAGCTTATACTAAGGAAGATATATACATGGACCTATATGTGCAAATACATACATATCTACAGGAGACAGACTGTTTAAGTTAGCCTTATTTTTTTCATTGTTCTTTAAGTGTCCTAATTGACTTCAATACATATTAATTACTATTGAAATTTAAATAAAATAAAAAGGGAAGAATATTTCTGCTTTTGAAAAATTATACATTATTCAATAAAGTAGATATTTTATAATACTTTGACAGGTTTTATTGTTTGTGTATCACAAAACATGTAAATGTGTAAATAATAGGAAATTATTAGGTTCTAAATATTAAATATAGTTAAAAGTTATATAATTTTGCAGTGTATATTCAGTTTGAGGCAAATGTTTTTAAATGAATACTAACATTACTAGTCATTTACTTGGTTATTTTGAGCAAGGGAAAAGCAGGTCATTGTTATAAGTTAACAGCTCATAGTTGAAATTATGTACTGGGGGACTAAGCTTCATTATTATTCAAATGAAATTATATAAAACACAAAGAAGTTAAGTAACATTGTTTTCTTCCTAAGAACTTAAAAACTACATAGCAGAAAGGTATCTTATGAATTCATCCTCCTCACTTAAAGTGCAATCACGATCACAATCTTCTCTGAGTCTACGTTAACTTTTGTGATAAAATATTGCAAAGAGGTTATGCCATCTTTTATCAGCTTCTGAAATAATGCCATTAAACATTGTCTTTATAGTTTACTTTTCTTTGGCAATATAAATAGCATTACATAAAAGTAGATTGCTTTCCTCTTTGAACTCAAGTTCTGTTTCTTTTTTTGTAAGTCCCAGAACTACCTGCTGTGTCTTGAATATCTGTTTTTTTCAAATATGTGTTTTTTTCAACTGTTACGTTAGTAGGTTATGTTAGTAAAAACAACTTTCATGATGTGTTAAAGTATTCATTCTAAAATAATTATGTGTTTCTGTAGGTTGCTAAAGAAACAAACCAAATCAAACAAAGAAAGTGGGGAAGGGAGTTTAGACGCAAGAATGAAAACAGTTTTTATCATGATGTCAGTTTAAATAAAGAATGCATCTTTTACATTAAATTTGTCTTCTACAGCAGCTCCCTAGAAATCTGAGCATGAGCAAAAGAAAACAAAATTATGTGTTTCCTTACTCACATATGGCTTCTAACATTGTTCTACTTTAAATATTAATTTTACCTAATTAGTCCTTGCCTCAAGAACATACAATAAAAATAAATCATCCTAGTGACAAATCCAAGTTATGTTTTGTGTTTGTTTTGCAATTATTAAGTTAAATATTATATTGGCATATTTTGAAACAACTACTTGGGTAGCTGCTACTATTATCTTCTCATTACTTCTCATTTTTTCAGTTTTAAATGGAAGCTGTAACAAATTATGCCCAAACTTTTACATGCAAATTTTTATTTTTTATTTTAATAGACTATATTATAGAGCAGTTTTAAGTTCACAGCAAAATTGAGTAGAAGGTACAGAGATGTTCCATATGGTTGCAGTGGTTTAAAAAACCATTGAGGTGTTTTTTAATAAAGAACAGTTACTGTGGTTGGCCCAGTGCCTTTCAATTAATTTGCCACAGAAACTCCTTTTAAATGAGAAAACATTCACCTAAACGTAATAGAAAAAGTATTGAAGATACTCTAAAAGAGTAATTATAAATATTTCTCGGCATTGGGATTGTGAATAACTTAATGGACTTCTTTTTGCTTACCCACATTTTTTATGTATACTGAATATTCCAAGACTTCTAGTATAAGCATGCATGAATTTAAACCATAATAAGTAAATATCATAAACAAAATGAAAGTGTTTATCATGGAAAAGCACTGCTGTGAACCGGCGCTGAACTAATTGTCTGAGATGGAGTTAGGATATTCAGTAGGATTTGAGTATATGCTGATGTGCTCTTACACTAGCATGGAATGAATACAGTTGTGAAAGGACATAACAGCAACATGGATGAGTAGTAGGAGACACTAATTAGGAAGAAAATGTGAGAACAAATTCTAGAGGCTCTTAAGAACCTGGATTTTGACAATGCGATTCCAATCAAAATCCCAGCAAGTTATTTTGTAGATATAAAAAAACTGTTCGTAAAGTTCATGCAGAAAAGCAAAATACCTCGAATGGCTAACACAGTATTGATGCAAAAGAACATATTTGGAGAACTGATACTATCCGACATCAAATCTTACTGCAGACATTTTGGAAGATAATTTAGTAATTTCTTACAAAATTATAAATTCTTACCATACAGTTCGGTAATCATGCTCCTTGATATTTACCTAAAGGAGTTGGAAACTTACATCCACGCAAAAATCTGCACATGGATGTTTATGGCTTTATTCATAAATGCCAAAACATTGAAGGCACTCAAGATGTCTTTCTATAAGCAAATGGACAAATAAACTTGTTCATCCACACAAGGGAATATGATTGAGTCCTAAAAAGAAATGCACTATCAAACCATGAGAAAGACATAGAGAAATCCAAAGTTCATATTGCTAAGTAACAGAAGCCAATATAAAAGGCTACATACTATACGATTTCAAATATATGACATTCTAGAAAAGGCAAAACTATGAAGACAGTAAAAGATCAGTGGTTACCGGATGTGTGAGAGGGGTGGGAGGGATGAACAGGCAGAACTCAGATGATTTTGGGGGCAGTGAAACTACTCTGTATGCTATTGTGATAGTGGACACATGTCATCATATAATTTGTCCAAACCCATAGAATATACAACACTCAAAGTGAACCCTAATGTGAACTATGAATTTTGAGTGATAATGATGAGTCAATGTAGGTTCAATTTTAAGAATTGTACCACTGTGGTGGGGGATGATGTCTATATATGTGTGGGGGTAGGGGTTATATGGAACATTTCTGTACCTTCTACTCAATTTTGCTGTGAACTTAAAACTGCTCTATAATATAGTCTATAAAAATAAAAAATAAAAATTTGCATGAAAAAGTTTGGACATAATTTGTTACAGCTTCCATTTAAAACTGAAAAAGTGAGAAGTAATGAGAAAATAAAAGTAGCAGCTGCCTAAGTAGTTGTTCCAAAAATATGCCAATACAATATTTAACTTAATAATTGCAAAACAAACACAAAACATAACTTGGATTTGTCACTGGGATGATATATTTTTATTGTACATTCTTGAGGCAAGGACTAATTAGGTGAAATTAGTATTTAAAGTAGAACAATGGTAGAAGCCATATGTAAGGAAACACATAATTTTGTTTTCTTTTGCTCATGCTCAGATTTCTAGGGAGTTGCTGTAGAAGACAAATTTAATGTAAAAGATGCATTCTTTATATTCTTCCTGTCAAAGGCATGAATTAGCTTTTTGATTATACATTGCTCTAATTCTATCAAGCCAATGCAATTTGAGTTATTATTAAATAAAATATTACATTTCTCTTTTGATAAACTTTGAATTTTTCATGTGCTTTTTTCAGTACATGCATTTTTACTTTTTAATCTTCTTTTTCTTTGTTATTCTTGCATAATATAGGATCATTTTGCTTAGGTATGCAGTACGGGGTTTCACCAATGGCGTTGTAAAAGGAGGGATATTTATTAAAATGTTCCCTTATCTAAGATTGTAATTTTTTTTTATTAATATTTGTTAAATCAATTTTCATTCTTAGGTTTTATTTTTTTATTTTATTATTATTATTTTTTTGAGATGGAGTCTCGCTCTGTTGCCCAGGCTGGAGTGCAGTGGCACGATCTCGGCTCACTGCAAGCTCCACTTCCCGGGTTCACGCCATTCTCCTTTCTTAGCCTCCCGAGTAGCTGGGACTACAGGCGCCCGCCATCACGCCCAGCTATTTTTTTTTTTTTTGTATTTTTAGTAGAGACAGGGTTTCACCGTGTTAGCCAGGATGGTCTCGATCTCCTGACCTCGTGATCTGCCCACCTTGGCCTCCTAAAGTGCTGGGATCACAGGCGTGAGCCACCGTGCCCGGCCCTTAGGTTTTATTTTTATATTTTATATTTCACAACATATCTAATCTCATTATAAATGCTTTCTGATGCTATAATTATGCTTATTTGTGTTAAACAATAGGTATTTATTGCTAAAAGATGCACATAAAATCATAATTCATAAGCTATAAAAAATGGCCCCATAGACATTTATGAACACTCTGAAATGGATATTAATGTTGACATGTGTATTTATTATAAGTACTAAATTTTCTTGGTATCCTTTGATACATTTACATATATTTTCCCTCAATATTTGAGTTGGTGTTATTTTCATTATTTCCCTATATTCTCTTCTCTGCTTTCTGGTTTTGTATTTTACTGCCCTTTTACAGGTGTCTAATCTATATAGCCAAGGAGTCAAGCTACTGAGAATTTCCTTGAAGCAGGAAATCTGTCTACGAGCTGAAAAAATGTTCAATGTCCTCTGTACCAGAAGACACTCACGGTTCATTATTGATATGAGTACCGGCAAATATTCATGTTCATCACAGAAAAGATGCAATAATTCTTGCTTCAAACACTATCTACACTATCTCTACATTTATAATTATTTCAGTGTCCATCATCCTTAAGTAGCATGAAAAAGTCATCTTCCATGTCTTACGTAACGTCAGAAAGCACACAGTCTTTAACTTGATGCTTCAAAGGTTATCAGTGTAATTCTACTTGTGACTGTGAAAAAAAAAAAAGAAAAAATGATTAAGATGATAACTTTGTGTAAATGTAGTCAATAATTTTCTAAGACCACTTGTTTAATGTAACCTAAAAATGGTGCTCCTGTCATGTTTTTGTCATACTTATTTGAGATTTTTGTAAAACTTTTTATCGAGAAATAAACAATTTTTTATAAGAACTTAAGAGTGGTTGAATTAGTACAATTTTAATTATTGAGCAGCAATATATTTTTCAATAAAATTATTTTAACTTATTTATATAATTTTTTCTTGGAGTTAGAATTTATTAAAGCATATGATGCCATGTATCTTTTTTTTATACTTTAAATTTTAGGGTACATGTGCACAAAGTGCAGGTTAGTTACATATGTATACGTGTGCCATGTTGGTGTGCTGCACCCATTAACTCGTCATGTAACATTAGGTATATCTCCTAATGCTATCCCTCCCCCCTCCCCCCACCCCACAACAGGCCCCAGTGTGTGATGTTCCCCTTCCTGTGTCCCTGTGTTCTCATTGTTCAATTCCCACCTATGAGTGAGAACATGCAGTGTTTGGTTTTCTGTCCTTGCGATAGTTTGCTGAGAATGGTGGTTTCCAGCTTCATCCATGTCCCTACAAATGACATGAACTCATCATTTTTTATGGATGCATAGTATTCCATGGTGTATATGTGCCACATTTTCTTAATCCAGTCTATCATTGTTTGACATTTGGCTTGGTTCCAAGTCTTTGCTATTGTGAATAGTGCCACAGTAAACATACGTGTGCATGTGTCTTTATAGCAGCATGATTTATAATCCTTTGGGTATATACCCAGTAATGGGATGGCTGGGTCAAATGATATTTCTAGTTCCAGATCCCTGAGGAATCGCCACACTGTCTTCCACGATGTTTGAACTAGTTTACAGTCCCACCAACAGTGTAAAAGTGTTCCTATTTCTCCACATCCTCTCCAGCACCTGTTGTTTCCTGACTTTTTAATGATTGCCATTCTAACTGGTGTGAGATGGTATCTCATTGTGGTTTTGATTTGCAGTTCTCTGATGGCCAGTGATGATGAGCATTTTTTCATGTGTCTTTTGGCTGCATAAATGTCTTCTATTGAGAAGTGTCTGTTCATATCCTTCGCCCACTTTTTGATGGAGTTGTTTGTTTTTTGTTGTAAATTTGTTTGAATTCATTGTAGATGCTGGATATTAGCCCTTTGTCAGATGAGTAGATTGCAAAAATTTTCTCCCACTCTGTAGGTTGCCTGTTCACTCTGATGGTAGTTTCTAGGTATCTTTTAAGGAGCCCTTTAAAATTATCAATTGATATGAATTATTAAATATTGAAAATGTGTCTGATGATTGTATCTATATATCTGTCTTATAGGTATTTGACAAATGGTGCATTTTCTTAAGGCAGACTAATTTAGAGAGGAGAGATTAATTTTAATAAAAACAGAATACAAACTATTTCAAGAAAATTGTCACCGATTTTCATGCTAGTGTTCCAATCTGAAAATTATCTATACACCTTTTTGTTCACTACAGTTGAAATTCTTTAAATATTACTAAAGTATTCTGAGAATTTCAATTACTGTTTATTATAGTTGAGATCAGTACCAGGCATTATTTCTATGGCTTTCAAGAGATTTCAACAACAAGATGCTACTATCTTAGTCTGTTTGGGCTGCTATAAAAAATGCCATAAACTGGGTGTTTATAAAAAACAGAAATGTCTTTATCACAATTCTGGAGGCTAGGAAGTCCAAGATCAAGCAGCAGGCAGATTTGGTGTCTGGCAAGAACCCACTTTCGGGTTCATAGGTGGCGTCTTCTGTCTGTAACCTTACACAGCAGGAGAGGACTTAGTTCATTCTACTGTTATGACTCCTATATACTCTCTTACATTATCCACACTGATCCTCTCTGGCCATCAACCACATTAAACTTTCCTAAGTTAGACTCCACTAATCTATATTAAGTAAACAACCGTAATTATTGAATTAGTTCTTCTTGAGAGGGAAGTGGCTACTAATTCATCTCAAAACCTACCTGTGTATTATTGGAGAGATTTTTAATACCTGGAAGAATATTTTGACTTGTTGGAGAAAACATTTTGAAGAGAGGAGAAAGACTTTTTGAATTCTGTGTCTGTTTGTGTCTTCTAGGAAGCAGATGCCAAGGGGATAGGAGGGAAGAACACTTGTGAAAGATGAAGGGGAAAAGAAGCATGGTGAGTCAAGGAGAAACTTAAGACTTTGATGCAGTTCTGACATATGGTAAGAATACGAGGAAAGATGTAAAATTTGAGTTTCAGAAAGAACCTGGTACCGAGGTGCAGCTCTGAGACTGTATGGCCATGCCAGAAATGGAATGCCAAAGATTGCCTTTAGAGGTGCCCCATGTTGGGCAGAAATGGCCAGATCCCAGCAACCTTGCTGTGCTCAGTCATTGCCTGGAAGTGGCTAAGGAAGAAGGTGCGTTTGACTTGAACTCTGTGGCAGATCCCCAAGGCACTGTGGCTGGAGCCTGTCAGCAAGATATACTCCTTATAGCAGAGTCTCACTTAGCAAGAGATCTTATAAAATTTGCTGCTGCAAATATTTTGCCTAAAACTCCATACTCAAGTAAAAAGCTACACTGCTGTCCCTGTTTTCATGCACTCAAAGTCACTTTATTCTGAACCTACACATATTCATCCAGTGTTTTATTTCTAAATATTTGCTATGTTTTGACAAAAGTATATAATTACTTTTATCCTGATTTTTGCTGCATTCTTCCTTTTATTTTCATTATATTCCATTGTATACCTCATGTACTTACCTATGTTTGTTCATTATTTAATTACTAAATATATACAGCTAGTTTATTACACATGTAAACTGAGTTATTTAGATAGGCAGTATATGCACTTTGTAGAAATTTCAAGTGTACACATACTTTTATCTGTAGTAGGAGACTCAACTTGTGAAGGGATCCTTCATTAATTATTCCATAAACGTTTACCTTTTTAGCACAGGCTATAATCCCCCTGCTGTACTGCAATGCATGCCTGCTATACCATGACTGTTTTATATATGTTAAAACTGAACCAAAATAAGAATCATTTCTTGCATGATTTTTTTTTTTTTCAAGACAGAGTCTCATGCTGTCGCCCAGGCTGGAGTGCAGTGGTGCAATCTCAGCTCACTGCAACCTCTGCCCCCATGGTTCAAAGGATTCTCCTGCCTCATCCTCCTGAGTAGCTGGGATTATAGGCACCTGCAACCACACCTGGCTATTTTTTTTTATTATTATTTTTAGTAGAGATGGGGTTTCACCATGTTGGCCAGGCTGGTCTCAAACTCCTGACCTCTGGTGATCCACCCGCCTTAGCCTCCTGAAGTGCTAGGATTACAGGCATGAGCCACAGCACCCAGTCTCTTGCGTGATTTCATACATCTTATCTCAAAAAGCACTCTTTGAGGACAACCTGTCCATGTAGAATAAGCATAACAAAATATAGCATACAAGGGAGTAGTTGGCATGTTTATCTGATAAAAAACCTACCGTATTCCTGTCATTGGACTGCTAGATTTGCAGTTTGTGCCTATTAAATTTTCTTTATTCCTGATGGTGATATTTGATTAATGCCATGTGAAAATAGGTGGCCTGTAATATATATCTATTTTTCTGTTCTAGAAAAAAATACAAATTTATGATCTGAGTGATGATAAATTAGGCACACAGAATAAAGTGAAATTTGTGCTAAATGGCATGTCTCCTGAAGCACTGGGTCTTCACATTAACTCTGAGCTAAGAAAAAGCTTCAGTTATTTCTCCTTACTGATCAGCAGGAATTAATGCCGTGAAGATGTGCAGAAGCCTGGAATGTGATAAAAGGTTCAGTGTGGTTGGCCAGATACCATTCAGGATGGGAGTTCTGGCTGATCAAGGGATATAACCATCTTCCCTTTTATTACTTATTTTCTGTTTATCCTGCTTATTATATGGCAAGCTTTCTGCAAAAGCTGAGAAAAGTTGTATGTAATGTACAAGACAAGAAGAAAACAGAGGAGAAATACATTGGCGGACAGATAGGATCTAAGAAGTGATGCAGAGAGCAGTCTTGACATACAAAAAAATACAGTCACTAGAGAGTGACAGACATAGATAAATTCTGATCAGAGCCTTTGCCTCTCTGAGTGGCAGAGAATCACCTTCACAGCAACACTCTGCTCACAAACTATTTTTTTCTTTGCTTTATACTTAATAGAGTTGTCTTCTTAATTATACATTATAATACATACAAGATGCTTAGAACAGTGTATGGCATATGACAAGCCTTCTAGAAATGTAATCTTCTGTAAAGCACAGTAATGCTAAAAGTATGGCAAGTGTGATGGTTAATTTTAGGTGTCGATTTGATCGAATTGGAGACTTAGAGAGCTAGTAAAGCAATACTTCTGGATGTGTCTGTGAGGGTGTCTTTAAAGGAGATTGGCATGTAAGTTGGTGGACTGAGTGGAAGGGATCTGCCCTCAATGTGGATAGGGGTCCAGAGAGAACAAAAAGAATCTCTCTCTGCCTTTTTTTCTCTCTCTCCTCTGAAGCTGAGACACCATTCTTTTCCTGCCCTTGCACCCAGAACTCCAAGTGGTCTGGCCTTTGGACTGCAGGATTGATACCAGTAGCCTCCCTCAATACCCTGGGTTCTCAGGCCTTCAGTGTCAAATTAAAGGGTTTTATCACTGGGTTTTCTGATTCTGAACATAGAAAATAGAGCTGAGAGAGTGATAGACAGAGATCAATTCTTTTTTTCTTTTTCTTTGTTTTGTTTTGTTTTTTTGAGATGGAGTCTTGCTCTCGCTGTGTTGCCCAGGTTGGAGTGCAGTGGCATAATCTCGGCTCACTGCAACCTCCGCCTCCCATGTTCAAGCAATTCTCTTGTCTCAGCCTCCCAAGTAGCTGGGACTACCAGCACCCATCACCACTCCTGGCTAATTTTTGCATTTTTAGTAGAGATGGGGTTTCACCATATTGGTCAGGCTGGTCTCAAACTCCTGACCTCAGGTGATCCACCCTCCTAGGGCTCTCAAAGTGCTGGGATTACAGGCATGAGCCACCACACCCGGCTGACACAGATCAATTCTAACTAGAGTCTTCACCTCTCTGAGAGGTAAAGAATCACCTTTATAGCAACACTCTGCTCACAAACAACTTGGATAACTTATTTTTCTTTGCTTTATACTTAAAATAGTTGTCTTCTTAATTTTACATGAGAGTACACATAAAATGCTGAGAACGGTGCATAGAATATGACAAGCCTCTGTAAGCATAAATTCCAGTCTTTTGGACTTGGATTGAGCCACACTATTGGTTTCCCAGAGACTCCAGCTTCCAGGCAGCCTGTTGTGGGGCTTCTCATCCTCCATTATCATGTAAGCCAATTCCTCTAATAAATCCTCTCTTATCAGTGTATCTATCAATCCATCCATCCATCCATCCATCCTGATATCTGGCTATCCATCCACTCAATCCTCTAGTCAGAGTTCTCCAGATATTGGTTCTATCTAGAGAACCCTGACTAATACAGAAGGTAATATGGTTCAGCAAGTCTAGGAAAGGGAGAGGGAGACTCTGTATGGTAGTACACTGCTTCCTCACCATTTTCATGTCAGAGAACACACACAGGTACAAACACACACACTTGAGTGCGTGCACTTCTGGAGAGACTTACATCCTTCAACACTTTGGAGAAAATTGGAAAGAAAATGATAAGTCTAGTCTCTCACTCCTTCTGATACTTTAAAAAATACATTATTTAAGGTTGTTGCACAGGTGTTTCCTTAGAGATGGTTTTAAAGTAAACAGTGTTACCGTGAATGTGTTATTTGGTTTCCACAATTCTTGAAGCAAACTTGACTGGAGTCAGACTTTCCAGAGCGGCATTATTATGATGTTCCTAAAAAAGCTAAATTCATTTTCCTTTTTAAAAATAAACTAATATTATTTTACACAAACTGCACACCATGCATAACTGAAAGCTGAGTATAAACAGTATAATTCTTTTTCCTCCATATAGTTTTATATAAGGAATTCAAAGAGGATTGTCAGCTATTAAAAATAGCAGTAACTGGGTAAAAGAGAAATGGTGCACACTGAAATACTAGTGATGCAAACTCAAGAAGATTAAACATTTTGTTCATGAATTTGGTGAAAAATAATGGTTGGTTTAATGGCAACGTAAAATTCGGACTTTATCCCAGTTTGAGTTTAATAAGCTAAAGTGACCATCATTCAATCTAGTATTAAAGATTTTGTGAGTCAAATATACTTTTTTCCCTATAATATCAGCAATCTACATCTTAACCATATTTTATGAATATCAAATCATCAGTATTTATTTACTGATTTTTTCCCCATATATTTGGAAGTCTTAAAGCCATTGTAGGCAAAACATATTATTATTTGTCTGTGAACACAAGCAATGCACACAAATAAGCTGGAGCTTTAATAACATTCTGTGTCCCAAATAGACATGTAATGTAATAAAATGTTTGTAGTTGATATTAAATGTAATAGATTAGGCTAGGAGTGAGTCATATTCTACTCTACCTCCATTGGACCTACAATCTAATTAGACTGTTAACAGTAAATTTGTTGCCTTGTTAGTTAGGTTCGCTCCAAGTGCTAATTTTATACACCAAATAAACAATGCCAGGCACATCCTGACAATGGAATATTTGTGTTTGAGAAAGACAATTCACATCAAAGAACAATCAGTCTGGAATGTAGGAAATGGCTTAATACATCTGTGATGAGACATCAGCTTATGTACTGAAGAGGTCGTAACACTCAATAAGTCGGGCTTTTACAGTCAAAGCAGGGGAATAGACAACAAGAGAACTGAGAGTATGAAGCTGAGTGGGCTTGTATATTAGTAAGTCCTGCGAGGAGATAAGTTGGGAATGAGAATTTCTCTACCTGTCTTTCATTCTTTATGAGAAAAGAAAACTTAGGTACCCATCTCCTGTGGGAAACTTAACTCTGCTTAGAAAGTTCTTCCTGTGATAACTGTATCCCAAATGTCTGACAAAAGATGCCCTACAAAATTGCATTATACAAGGTAAACTTGATCCAATGTCACAGTCTGGGGGAAAAATAGTCTGCATGATCAGAGTTAGATACTGAAAGAAGAAAAGGACCACTTGGGAAGATGAGCAGGTGAGAAAGGTAGAATTTTGAGGAATATAACACGTGGTTGCTGGAAGAAGTCCCTCTGTGATGACAATATATACACAAGAAGAGATTCCCAGTGTCCAGAAATTATTTCATAACTAGATTTTTGATGAAAGGCTAGATCTGAGGATAAAAGTTTAGAGAAGCCTATGGTATTTACACATTTACTGAAGGAGTATGTATGGGAAATGAAGAGAGGAGGACAGAGCTTGCCCTAGTCAGGTATGCAAATATTTTCCAACTTAAAGGCTCAAAGGGGAGACTAAAGTTTATTTTTTTAATATTCAATTGCAACATATACAAGTAGTTTTGCTTAAGAGAAAAAGTCAATGTTAGAATGAATGTCCTCTCATTTCATTTTATAAAGCTTTCACTGATGGGTTTTCCGGCATTGTAGACCTCTCCTGTGTCATCCATATTGTGGTTCTATGTATTCTGAAGGGAGTTGCAGTTGACTTGCAATTTCTCATCCAGTATTAACCTTAATTTATGCACTCATGTGATAGTTCTCAAATAGTTGTCTCATCAGAACAAGTAAGGCTGCAATAGCACTTTTTAAATGTTACTAAATTTCTTTTTTTTTCTGCCCAGCTTCTGTGGAAAACACTTTCAAGTTCATTAGATCAAACTTGTTGAGAATGGCTGACATCTGAGAATCAAACCAACACTCCTCAGCATTGAGTCAAAAAGTCACAGAAGGTATTGTTTAAACCTCCTTAAGATGGCCTTGAACCTCCTTAAGATAGCAAAGAGAGAATAAGGGCTAGAGCCATTCCATAGAATAGATAGATTATTTTGGGGGAAAATAAGATCTTTGGAATTTTATATTTTCAAGGACAAAAGTTAAGAAAGAATAGCAAGAAATGAATATATGATGAACATTTTTAAACATATAGTACCTGGGGTAAATTCACGGTAAGAGATCCTTAGTTAAATATATGTTTTATGGCACTTTGGTTAGCTTATAGACTAACCTGAGTTTTAAAATGAGTCTTACTACAGTAAAATTTCAGATATCTGGTTGTCTCAGAGAATAAGAAATTTGTGTGCATTCAAATTCCAAGCATAGAAGCTTTAGAATGAGGACAGTATAATTATGGCCGAAAGTGCTGCCACTAAAAGTGTGGCTGCTGCTTCCTTTGGATAGTGTTACTAAGCAATGGCTTCCCAGCCAAGGACTACATGTTTAGGTGTCTTATGCCAAAAGTTATGGTCATGCGACATAACTTCAAAATATCAACAAAGGCAATTACATGGATGCCTTTTTCCTTCTACTTCCTGCAGAGTGTGAACAGGTGGTTCCTGGAGATTAAAAAGCGATCTTAGTGTTGTCTGCAGTGACTATGGGGAAGCTATTGCATAAAAAAGCAGGGTTTCACTGAGGGAGTACTTGAAATGATGGGAGTAGATGAGACCACCGGGGGAAAGTTTATAGAATGAAAACAGTAGTAGGTTAAAGACAGAAGCCTAAGAAATACCGATACGCAAAAGATAAGAGGGGAATATAAGAAAAGCACATAAATAACTTGCATTGATTGGTGAAGGCCCTTAAATAGAGGAACACTGGCCAGAGACCTGGAAGGGACTATTGTGTCAGTGACGGGGAGTAGAGAGTTTGAAGTGGGCAATGAGTGTTTTGCTGTTAGCACTGGCAATAATACAGGGGCACAAAAGTATTCTTTCATTTTGAAACTTTGCAGTTTTGGGAATGACTTGACAATAACTTCAAATGGATGTTGGGGGCAAAATTTTGAGTGTGTTTTGAATAAGGAAAGAGAAGTGGGGAAGTAAGCACCATGGAGTAGACAGCTCCACAGAAGGTTCAATGCAAAGGGAGAAGGGAGGCTTTATGGAAGAGATCACAGGCTCAAAGGAGGGGATGCGGGCACATTTATTGGTTGAAAGAATGAATTCTGTAAAGGGAGTAAAACAACAAAGATGACAGGGAGGAGATCAGATAGTTTAGCCTGGTCCTAGAGAAGGTAGGAGATGAAATTTAAAATGCAGGTAATGGAACTGGATTTAAAGAAGAAAGGGACAGATTTGTATCCTTGGATTAAAGCAATTAAGGATGATTGCTGAGGTTGGCAAATTTGCAGTGAGAAAGAGGCATAAATTGAACCATGTCCACATTCAGTTTTCCTCTAGCCTCCATATAATAAAAGATACAATTGGCTGCCTTGAAAGACAGATTGGTGGTTGTATTGCTCGCATCAACTCTGGCAAATCATCCAACCATCTAAATAACCAATTGGCAAATATTAATCTAGAATTTACTACATTCTAGTAACTTTAAGAAGTATAGTAGCAAACAAGACATGCATGTTACTCTTTTCTCCTTTATAGAGATTTTGATGTAGTAGGAAATGTTACTAAATTACAATTGATTAAAATATATCTCTTTAGAAAATAAGAGAATGGGATTTAAGTGTTTATCAGATTGTTTCTTACTAAGTAGTTAAACAAATCTGAGGGATTTAACACAAACAAGGGAGCAGACCAATTTACAGTTTGTGGTTTATATTTATCATCATCTGCTATCAGATTAATATTAAACTTGAAAATTCAAATGCATGACAGAAGTAGCAAAATAGGACTTTATATTGTAATGAAGTGCATATTTACAAGAATAAATATAATTGCAATGTCTGTACTCAAATGGATATTTAGTAAAGAATTATGGTCAATAGCAAAGGCCTCTTGAAAATTTCAAAGTGACATGATAAATGTAGAATTCTGCTACTGTTATAATAGTCAAATCTTTATTATTTGCTTGCTGTCTTTCTCTTACTCTCTCAAAAGTCTGTGTCTATGTACATATTCTTTAGTTGTGTCAGAGTAAATTAGTTACCTTAAATCTACACTATTGACTTACTAGTGACTCAGTTGTCCCTACACCAGAAATAAATCATCTAAGGTTAAAAGTTTCTTCATAAATTTGCAAATTAATTTATTAAAAACTTGAGACATTTTTAAAAA
Organism: Homo sapiens; assembly: GCF_000001405.40. Taxonomy (NCBI): domain Eukaryota; kingdom Metazoa; phylum Chordata; class Mammalia; order Primates; family Hominidae; genus Homo; species Homo sapiens. The sequence goes on from NC_000008.11 coordinate 13,994,500, forward strand.
ATTAATATTTATTTATGTTTATTATACTTTAAGTCCTGGGATACATGTCCAGAACGTTCAGGTTTGTTACACAGATATACACATGCTATGATGGTTTGCTGCACCCATCAACCTGTCATCTACATTAGGTATTTCTCCTAATGCTATCCCTCCCCTTGCCCTCACAGTGAAGACTTTTTTCATATTCAAAAAATACTAAATAACTTGGGGTTTATTTTAAAAAAATACATAGTTGATATAGTTCGGATGTTTGTCTCATCCAAATCTCAAGATGAAATGTAATTCCCAATATTGAATGTGGGGAATAGTGGAAGGTATTGGATCATGGGATGGATCCCTCATGAATGGCTTGGTACCCTTCTCACAGTAGTGAGTGAGTTCTCGCTCTGAGTTGATGCCAGATCTGGTTGTTCAAAAGAGTGTGGCATCCTCGTTCCCCCACGGCTTGCTCCCACTGTAGCCATGTAATGCACTCCTCCACCTTCACTTTCTGCCATGATTGGAAATTTCCTGAGGCCCTCACCAGAAGTAGAAGCAGACACCACACTTCTTGTACACCCTGCAGAACTGAAAGCCAATGAAACATCTTTACTTTATAAATTATCCAGTCTCAGGAATTCCTATATAACAATGCAAGAATGGACTGAAACAATAGTATAAAATTAGTGTAACTTCTGATCATGGTTCCACTTTTTATTACAGACCTTCAATTTTCTAGAAATAAAGGAAAGTGTTAATTATAAACATTTTCACAATGACTAAAGTAGTTGATATGGTTTGGCTCTGTGTCCCCACCCAAACCTCACCTTGAATTGTAGTAATCCCCACTTGTCAAGGGCAGGACCAGATTGAGATAATTAAATCATGGGGGTGGTTTCCCCAATGCTGTTCTCATGATAGTGAGTGAGTTCTCAGGAGATCTGATGGTTTTATAAGAGGCTTCCCCCTTTGCTTGGCCCTCATTCTCTCTCCTGTCCTCTTGTGAAGAGGTGCCTTCTGCCATGACTGTAAGTTTACTGAGGCCTACCCAGCCATGTGAATCTGTGAGCCATTTAAACCTCTTTTCTTTATAAACTACCCAGTCTTGGGTATTCCTTCATAGCAGCCTGAGAATGGACTAATACAGTAGTTTTACGGGGTGAAATGTCATGAGCCAGTAAAGAAAAATAATTATTCAATCAGTGAAAATCTGTTCTTCAGTAAAGGATGTCTTTAGGTCAGCTTGTGCTACAGGTACAAGAAATGATTATTCTAAAAAAATTATCATCCCCAGGCAAGAGATCCTTATCCTTCAAGGCAAGAGAGATGGAGCTATTGGAATATTCTTTTTCCTTGATCAAAATATCCTTCATCGGGGAAATATTCTCTTGCAAAAATACCACAGCTGTCTGGTAAGCCATTTATGACACAGCCTTAAACCCTTTGAAGGTAAGTAACACAATTTGATGTATATATTCATTTGTCATTTATAAACTATTTTATAGTTGCCCTATTTCCTCAAAAAGAGTACTGCTTCATGGCAGAAAATATGTAAGCTCTTTCTCTCTTCTACAATGCCTGGCAGAATATTGGATATTTGGAAACATAAATATCTGTGTTTTGAATACCTCAATGTTGTAATCTGTGAGACTCATTCTAGAAAACCACTAAAGTGCTATTTTGATGATTATTGCAATTTTATTTGAAAGCATTGCTAAAATGGACTAATTATGATATTTTGGGAGTTTTTTTCTAAATTGTTTTCTCATTTCCCATCTTCATAAGATGCAGTATGACTAAATAATATTCACGATCCCATTTTGAACAAGAAAAATAAAATGCATCTTGGTGTTCAATTAAATTACAAATGACTTCAAGGTGTCAATGTCTTTTTGGTTCTAGAAAAGACTTTCAAATTATACTGCTTAACAATGACATTTATAAAATGCTTTATATTTTTCAAAATGCCTTCACATAATGAAATTGTTACTAGCAACTCAAGGTTGCTTTTGATTCAATAGAAGAAATATTTTGGTAATGAAATTTTGCCGCCTCAAATGTGCAGAAAGCAAAACCATCTATTTTATGCTGCAAAGCAAACCAGGCATTTTCAAGAATAGCTAGTAGTCTGACGCTTCTGAAAAAAAGTTACATAGTACAGGTCTAGAGGGAGTTCTGGAGAACATTCAAGAAGGGTCTGCATTGATTTCGAAAGCATTAGAATCCATCTACTAAAGTCCATAATAGAAACTGAGTACTTAAAGCGTCTTTCAAGCCAACATTTTCCTGCTAGAACATATTTTATTTACATTGTGATCACTTCAGAGAACGAAATAGTGGGTGACATCATTCAAATATCTCCTTAAAAACAATTGTTGATTTTTTCCCCATAAGTCTACATTAAAAAAATTTAAAGAAACTTAAAAATCTATTGAAAGTTGAAGTGTTTATTATGGTGCTCTGAGCTTGAGTAACTATAGGTAAATTTAAATGATGTAATTATAGCAATTAAGTGTGGAACTGGTAGGACATTTCCAGTTTATTATATGTCATATAGACAAATTAATCATCACCCAGGAACTTGAAATGCTGTAAGTGTTGAATTTTAACATATTTTAAATTGGTGTCTACCTTTATATTAGCAGAACTTATAATGCTTAAAGTAAACCACCCAGATGTTTCAAATGATTACATAAACAAATAATATTCCATATTATTATGATTTTTCCTGCTTGTATATGATATACTGTTGATAATGCAATCCGTTAGGAAAAGACAAACGTTTCTAGCATTGTTCTCCCAGAATGTTTGAAGTATTTCTGTTTGTGTGGATATGCACTGGACAATCCAGGTACATAAATGATCAATGTTGTTCTTTAACAGAGATCTAAGCCACTGGGGGAGAATGGATAGCCTGGTCTGGGGGCTGATTTTATGAAGAACTTCTAGGCGTAGATACAAGAAGTGGGTTCATAAGCATCAAGCCCTGCAAGGCATTGCACGAATGAATAAAATGCCTTTTCAAAGTAGGTCCTCCAAAAGATCTACCTAAATGGTAAAGCAAGAGGTAGAAGTGTTAACACAAATAATCAGATTTTGATAAACATATATGGCAATGATTATTTTGCCAAGTCAGCAATTCCCCAAAATATGGTGCCTTGACACGCTAAGTGCTTTGAAAATTACAAGGGCTCAGAAATAAACCCCAGGACCATGGTCTCTCTATGACCTTTCCTCTCTGCCCCTGTCTTTCTCATCCTTTCTGAAAGGACTAGGAGAAGCTCCCTCTAGAATTTTCACATTTAAGAAAATTTCTTTCCAAAAGAAATGCAATTATATTAAGCCACCCTCCCTAGGAATCTCACCAAATAACCAGGAAAGATCAACCACCAAAGAAGATAAAAGACTGGGGGTCTCCACCACGCTCAGACAGACTTTTTAATCTATCTTCTGTGAACAGCTCCAACAGACTACCTGAAAGACTTTATCTGCATAGTAAGACAACCTTTGTTCCAGTGAACCGTATGGTCTGAATAATGGGCTGGTTCATTTCCCCACTCTCCTTCTTCTGTGAATAAGCCATTTAAGCCTCAATCATCTGGTCCATCTTTGAGTTCATAATTTAAACAATTCCCATGCATGTGTGTGTACATAATAGTAATATATTTGTTATTTTTTCTCTTCTTATCCTGCCTTTTGTTATAAGAGTGTCAGCCATGACTCTTTATAAAGGGGAGAAAAGAAATCACTCCATTTGCATCTATAGAAAGCATTATATGCAGTCTAGGGGTGATTTAAAACAGTGGTCCCCAGTCTTTTCGGCACCAGGGACTGGTTTCATGGAAGACAATTCTTCCATGGACTCAAGGGCAGGGGATGCTTGGGGGATGATTCAAAAACAATACATTTATTTTGGACTTTAATTCTGTTATTATTGTAATATATAATGCAATAATTATACAACTCACCATAATGTAGAATCAGTGGGATCCCTGAGCTTGTTTTCCTGGAAATAGATGTTCGCCATCTTGGGCTGATGGGAGAGAGTGACACCCGAATTGTGTTGCTTAATCCTGTTGTAGTTGCTGTCACTGCAGAAAACCCTGCTTCCCTAAGGTAGAATTTTGGAAATGGAAGCAGGCTTTTCAATGCTTTTGTGTTAACTTCAGGATATGCCCCTGCCTTGACTTTAATCCAGAATGTATGGAGACTTGAAGTTGTCTCAAACATACTTTTAAGGTCAGTGTCATTTGCAAGCTCAAGCAGTTGATCCTCTTCCAGTGTGGACAAAGCCAATTTACCTGTTTAATTCACAAATGGGTTGCGCATCCACCATTCCTTCCCAGTTTGGGGGTCTTTCGTGGTTGGGAAGTAATGGTCAAACTCTTTTGAAAGCTGAGATATGTGATCATGCACCACCTGGGGGAAAGAAGGTCCTGGCTCAGTCTCTTTCAAAAATCTTTGCTAATGTTTGAAACATGTCAGAAGTCCCAGTGTTCATTCATCACTACCATAACACCACTTTGGCTTTGAATGCAGCCACTTTATCTGTTGACTTTAACAGAGTTGTCATTCTCCCCTGAAATGACAGATTGAGTTTGTTGAGCAGGTTGAATATGTCACACAAGTAAGCAAGTTTTGCGACCCATTCTGTGTCACTGAAATGTGCTGCCAGTGGTGACTGTTTTTCTAAAAGAAATCTCTGGAGCGACTCTTATAACTCAAAAATTCTGGCCAGTGATCTACCTTTAGAAAGCCATCTCACTTCTGTGTATAAGAGAAGACGTGTGTGCTCTGCGTCCATCTCCTCACAGAGCTGCACAAACAGACGTGAGTTAACAGCATGTACTTTAATGTGGTTGTTAATTTTAATCACATCCTGAAAAACGTTAAGTTCAGGTGACATTTTGTGGCTAGCCAACATTTCTCTGTGGATGACAGAGTGTGTAGACTTAGATTCAGAAGCGACCTCTTTGACCCGAGTCAGATTTCAGTGATTATCATGTTGAAATATACAATTACATGATAATTCCTATTGTTAATAGAAATGCTTATGCAGTGAAAAGATCTATGAGCTGGAGTATTTCTGTTTTATTGTTTTCAATCTAAATATTGTACGTTTAATGTATGAGAAGAACATTAAACTCCCATCACTTAAGCATAATAACTGCCTCATGTATCTATATAATGTTTCAAAGACATTTTTAGGCCATTTAAGCTTTTTTTTTTTTTGAGACAGTTTCCTTCTGTTGCCCAGGCTGGAGGGCAGTGGCGCGGTCTTAGTGCACTAAAACCTCCGTCTCTTGGGTTCAAGCGATTCTGCTGCCTCAGCCTCCGGAGTAGCTGGGATTATAGGCACCCACCACAACACCTGGTTGATTTTTGTATTTTTAATAGAGATGGAGTTTCACTATGTTGGCCAGCTTGGTCTCGAATTCCTGACCTCAGACAATCTGCCCTCCTCGGCCTCCCAAAGTGCTGGGATTACAGACTTGAGCTACCGCGCCTGGCTTAAGCTTTTTAATTTATAATAAATATCCACTGAAAGATTTATAATAAATATCCACTGAAAGATTTCCTGTTAAATTTAGTGCAATATTTTAAGTGATCGGCAGAACTTTATTTTTTATTTTTTTTTAACTTTTATTTTAAGTTCAGGGGTGCAAGTGCAGATTTGTTACATAGGTAAAATGTGTCATAGGGGTTTCCTGCACAGATTATTTCATCATCTGTGTATTAAGCCTAGTACCCGTTAGTTATTTTTTTTTTTTTTATCCTTTCTTTCCTTCCACCTTCCACCCTCTGAATGGCCCCAGGGTGTGTTGTTCCCCTCTGTGTGTCCATGTGTTCTCATCATTTAGCTCCCACTTAAAAGTGAGAACATGTAGTATTTGGTTTTCTGTTTCTGAGTTAGTTTGCTAGAGATAATCGTCTCCAGCTCCATCCATCTCCCTGCAGAGGACGTGATCTTGTTCTTTTTATGGCTGCATGGTAGTCCATGGTGAATAGGTACCACATTTTCTTTATTCAGTCTATCATTGATGGGCATTTAGGTTGATTCTGTCTTTGCTATTGTGATTAGTGCTACAGTGAACATGCATGTGCATGTATCTTTATAATAGAATGAATTATATTCCTTTGGGTGTATAGCCAGTAATGGGATTGTGGGGTTCCATTTGAGCAATCGCCACACTGTCTTCCATAATGGCTGAACAAATTTTCACTCTTACCAATAGTGTATAAGCATTCTTTTTCTCCATAACCTTGCCAGCATCTATGTTTTTGATTTTTGTTTTCTTTTGACATTTTATTAATAACCATTCTGACTGATTGAGATAGTATCTCATTGTGGTTTGTATTTGCATTTCTCTAATGATCAGTGATATTGAGCTTTTCTTCATAAGATTGTTGACTAAATGTATCTCTTCTTTTGAAGAGTGTCTGTTCATGTCCTCTGCCCACTTTTTTTATGAGGTCATTCTCTCATTCTGTTGGTTGTCTTACTCTGTTGATAGCTTCTTTTGATTTGCAGAAGCTCTTTAGTTTAATTACATACCATTTGTCAGTATTTGGTTTTGTTGCATTTGCTTTTGGCATTTCATTATAAAATCTTTGCCCATGCCTATGACCTGAATGGTATTGCCTAGGTTGTCTTCCAGGGTTTTTATAGTATGGGGTTTTACATTTACATCTTTAATTAATCTTGAGTTGATTTTTGTATATGGTGTAAGGAGGGGTCCAGTTCAGTCTTCTGCATATGGTTAGCCAGTTATCCAAGCACCATTTATTGAATAGGAAATCATTTACCCCATTGCTTTGTCAGGTTTGTTGAAGATTAGAAAGTTGCAGGTGTGCAGTCTTATTCCTGGGTTCTCTATTCTATTTCATTCGTCTGCGTCTCTTTTTATATCAGTACCATGCTGCTTTGGTTATTGTAGCCCTATAGTATAGTTAGATATCAGGTAACATGATGTCTCCAGTTTTGCTAGAATTGCCCTGGCTATTTCAGCTCTTTTTTTTGTTCCATATGAATTTTGAAATAGTTTTTTTTTTTCAGTGAAGAATGTCATTGATAGCTGGATAGGAATAGCATTGATTCTGTGAATTGCTTTGAGCAGTATGATGATTTTAATTATACTGATTCTTCATATCCATGAGCATGAAATGTTTTTCCAGTTGTTTGTGTCATCTCTGAATTCCTTGCACATAGATTCACAGCTGAATTCTACCAGATGTACAAAGAACAGCTGGTACCATTCCTACTGAAACTATTCCAGAAAATTGAGGAGGAGAGACTCCTCTGTAACTCATTCTATGAGGCCAGCATCATCTTGATACCAAAGCCTGGCAGAGATAGAACAAAAACAGAAAACTTCAGGCTAATGTCTTTGATAAATGTCAGTGCAAAAATCATCAACAAAATACTGGCAAACGAAATCTAGCAGCACATCAAAAAGCTAATCCACTACAATCAAGTAGACTTCATCCCCACGATGCAAGTTTGGTTCAACACATGCAAATCAATAAATGTGATTCATTACATAAACAGAACTGAAGGCAAAAACCACATGATTACCTCAATAGAAACAGAAAGGACTTTCAATAAAGCTCAACAACCATTTAGGTTAAAAACTCTCAATTAACTAGGTATTGAAGGAACATGCTTCAAAATAATAAGAGCCATCTATGACAAACCCATAGCCAACATCATACCAAATGGGTAAAAGGTGGAAGCATTCCCTTTGAAAAATGGCACAAAACTAGGATACACTGTCTCACCACTCCTATTTAACATAGTATTGGAAGTCCTGGCCAGGGCAATTAGGCAAGATAAAGAAATAAAGGCATCCAAATAAGAAGAGAGAAAGTCAAATTACCCATGTTTACAAATACCAGATCCTATATCTAGAAAACCCCATATTCTTGGCCCAGAAGCTCCTTAAGTTGATAAACAACTTCAGCAAAGTCTCAGGATACAAAATCAATGTGCAAAAATAAAAATCACTAACATTCCTATACACCAACCACAGTAAAACCGAGAATCAAATCAGAAATAAACTTTCATTCACAGTTGCCACACACACACACACAAAAAAACAGCAACAACAACAACAAAGCACCTAGGAACACAGCTAACTAGGGAGGTGAAAGATCTCTACAAGGAGAACTACAAACTACTGCTGAGATAATTTTATTTTAAATTTAATAAGAATTATCGCTAAATTTTATTCTTTAGCAGAACATTTAAAATAACATTTCAATTTGGTATCTGCTATTGTTGTTAATCTTAGGATGCTTTCTTCTATGCTACAAAATTACTCAAAGTAATATTTGTGTGAGAATATAGGCCAGTAGAACATTTATTTATTCATTCATTCATTCTTTAGCTCATTGACTTGATATGTACTATGCTATAGGTACTTGGCTAGACTGAGGATGTAGAGATGAAGACACACACCTTTCCCCATAAGATGGTGAAGTAGAGGGCTGAGAACAGACATTTAAACCTACCATGGGGTAAGCATCATAACACCCTCTCTCTGTCTTGCCCTCATTAGCCTGGGCCTTTTGTGGCATAAGTGACTTCTGTTGTGTAGATGAAGTCAGTCCAAAGCTCCTTGGAACTTGGGCCAGAATGTTGTGAGTTTGAATGCTGCTTGCCACTTTCAGATGTGTAACATTGGATAAGTTTCTTTATTTCTCTTATCTCCTCAAGTGTAAAGTCTGGGTAATATACCCTTGTAAAAATCATAATATTGAACCTAAGGAGTTTAACACATTCATTTAACACATTCATAAATTAGATTAAGAACTCAAAACAAGTTGACTACTAATACAATTATTATAATTGCTAAACTTTAGTCTTCCTACATTTTTCTCTGTTATCTCACATTTAATCTGTTAATATGTCTCTATCTGTCTCTACTTAATTTTAGTGTTGTAAGAACCAGATAATAGTCAATGCTGGTTTTTCCTCACCTTTGTGGATCTTTGAAGAACATGACAAAAACAAGCAATGTGGAAAGAATTCCCTAATGAATAACTGTTTTTGGGAAAACTGACTACCCATATGCAGAAAACTGAAACTGGACCCCTTCCTTGCACCTTATACAAAAATTAACTCAAGATGGATTAAAGACTTAAACGTAAGACCTAAAGCCATAAAAACCCTAGAAGAAAACCTAGCAATACCATTCAGGACATAGGCATGGGCAAAGACTTCATGACTAAAACACCAAAAGGAAGGGCAACAAATGTCAAAATAGACAAATGGGATCTAATTAAACTAAAAAAACTTCTGCACAGCCAAAGAAACTATCATCAGAGTAAACAGGCAGCCTACAGAGTGGGAGAAAATTTTTGCAATCTATCAATCTGACACAGGGCTAATATCCAGAATCTACAAGGAACTTAAACAAAGTTACAAGAAAATAACAAACAACCACGTCAAAAAGTGGGCAAAGGATATGAACAGACACTTCTCAAAGGAAGACATTTATGCGGTCAACAAACACAGGAAAAAAGTCTCATCATCTCTGGCCATTAGAGAAATGCAAATCAAAACCACAATGTGATAGCATCTCACACCAGTTAGAATGGCGGTCATTAAAAAGTCAGGAAACAGATGTGGAGAGGATGTGAAGAAATAGGAACACTTTTACACTGTTGGAGGGAGTGTAAATTAGTTCAACCATCGTGGAAGACAGTGTAGCAATTCCTCAAGGATCTTGAACCAGAAACACCATTTGACCCAGCAATCCCGTTACTGTGTATATACCAAAAGGACTATAAATCATTCTACTATAAAGACACGTGTACGTGTATGTTTATGGCAGCACTGTTCACAATAGCAAAGACTTGAAACCAACCCAAATGACCATCAATTATAGACTGGATAAGGAAAATATGGCACATATACACCATGGAATACTATGCAGCCATAAAAAAAGAGATGAGTTCATGTCCTTTGCAGGGACATGGATGAAGTTGGAAACCATCATTCTCAGCAAACTAACACAGGAACAGAAAACCGAACACCGCATGTTCTCACTCATAAGTGAGAATTGAACAATGAGAACATATGGACAGAGGGAGGGGAACATCACACACTAGGGCTTGTCAGAGGCTAAGGCCTAGGGGAGGGATAGTGTTAAGAGAATTACACAATATAGATGATGGGTTGATGGGTGCAGCAAACCACCATGGAACATGTATACCTATGTAACAAACCTGCACATTCTGCACATGTATCCCAGAACTTAAAGTATAATAATAAAAAAATACAGAAAAAAATAGTCAATGCAACAACTTGGATTTTGTTTCCTGTTTAGAAGGTTTTTTTTTTCCTTTGTACTGAGAAAATTGAAGAAGTATTGGCTTATAGTCTAAACCTAGAAAAGACTACACTTCACCTGAAAAACTGCCAGCCAAGGCCTTCATATCTAGTGATTTGACTATGGTTCAATTATTAACACAGAAAGGAAGAAACTAACAAAATCCAGTGTCTTAATAAAGCAATACATCACTGTCAAATAGCATATGGAGAACCACACCAATAAGGCCACTAAAATTAGAACAAATGGAAATCTATTAAAAATTATGTTGCCTAAAACTTGTCATCATTGATTATGTGTGGAGAAGACAACATAGTGTACTAAAAACAGCAAGGATTTTATTTTCAGAAACAAACATAACTTAGGTGTGTCATCCTAAAATATTAAATATTTGTGTTTTCACGCCTTGTGTTATCCTGAAAGACTGAATATTTGTACTGCTACACCTGTCCCGAATTGCCTCCTCTTTGGTCCTCAGGTAACACTTGATTATGCACCCCGCTCTCCCATTGTATTGGTGATGAGAGACAGAGAGCAACACCCCTGCCTCCCTGTTTGATTCCGGGAGGTGCATGTAACCAAAGCAGCATCAATTAGTACTTTCTGGGATTATTATATAGCCTTGGAGGAAAGAGAAGTTGCCTCCCTGCTTCTAAGCTAGAAGGATTCAATGCTGGTAGTAATTTTGTCTCCCTGAGGAATAAGCCAAGCAGCAGCAAGCACATATGAGTGCCAGAGAGAAACTGTAAAGCTCTAACTCATGCCGTGCGTCCATGAATCCAGCCATGGAAGAAATCAAGCCAAGCTGTAAAAAAGCACAACTGAGAGAGAGAGAGAGAGAGAGAGAGAGAAAGAACCACAGTAAACCCATTCATGGAAGATTAACTGCTAAGTGTGGGATTTTGATAACACTATTCAGTAGGTCACACAGTGGGGCCAGGATTGCTCTGGACTTTGCCACTTGTTCGGGTTTAATTATAATGTGTTGCATTCACCCTCAAACGTGGCCTGCTTTGGACAATAATTTATCTCTACTTATAGCTCAGCAACTGTGTTTTACTCAAACTAAATATATTATTTACATCTTCTTCTGCATCTGTTGGCAATAGGCTTGGAAAAAAAAGATAACAAAGAAAATTTTAAGCAAACTCATAGACAAGATTAAGTGGTGTGAATCTATAGATTTCCATTAGTATTATGTCTGTCCAAGAGTAGAGTAGGAGCAAACCTGTATAAATTAAGTGGAGATATTATTTTAGGTTTTACACTTTTTGAAGCAGAATTAGCAGAGATGGAATATACCTGGCACCTCCCTGACGAGAAGATACATTGTGTCTACACAGCCTTATGTGAAAACCATCATGTTTTATGAGATGTAAGAGGTGCAGTAAGGAATTATTTTTGGTAACATATGTTAATTTTTCCAAACACTTCATCACCGTACATTATTATGTTTAAACAATACCACCCATATTCATACTCTGGCAAGTTTTCTAGAGTAGAAAGGCATGACCAAAGGCACCCAGCTAGTACACACTTCCTGAATGCCTATAGAAGTGGCCATGTACCATATGGAAGACTTTTTTTAAACAAGTATTTGTGAATAATTACCTTAAAAATCAACTTTGCTCATTAAAAATGCACATTTTTACTTCTCTGTTAGCAGCACAGGTCTATAAAATTCTTTTTGGACTTGAAGCATGGTAGGCAGCAGACAATTTTATGTAAATGGCATGGTTGCATAGGTCTTAGATTCTGTGAGGAGAGAGAATACATACTTTCAGTCTGATCCTTCAGGAGATGACCCAAACAGACAAGGAAACCAGTGGTGTAGGTGCACCCACTCACTTCAAGGCCTTTGCAGAATGTCAATGAACAGCTCTGCTGCAGTTTCTGTGTGGTGAAGAGTCCATTTCAAATGATACCTACTTCAGAACAGATTGCCACTTACGAATTCCGAGTATTCGGTATCCAGTTATAAAACTAGATGACTGAAAGACCTCACGGTATGATTAGCCAATTTTCTTTCAATAGACATGAACTATGTGAATTTTCATTTCTTCCTTAGCTTTTCATTAAAATGCACAAGTTAAACAGTGGTCCCATTTTAAACAAAACCTTCCGTGGCATATCTTCATCTCAAGTGAAGCTTAAAAATTGAAATACGAAAGCTATGTTTGGGACCTTGCTTGCCAAACACTTTGGTCTCTGGTTTTCTAGTTCAAACAGATGGAGAAGACCCTGGCACACATTTGGCTTTTGATTATTTCAGCTCTGCTTGCATCAGTGTGTGATGGGGAAGGGCACGACTCACAGGGCAATAAATATGAGTCATTATACCCATTCTGGTCATATAAAAGTCAATGCCAGTCTGTATCCAGAGGGACAAATCATGTGCCCCTAATTTCCTGTTACCCATATCACTATGTTATTGCTTTTGTCCTGACACAGTTATTCAGCTATTTCGACGGCTGGCAATGAGATAAGTTAGCTATGAAGTGAACATATTTAATTACTTTTCTTCTATCATTGGAAAAACTGATTTTCATCGGGGGAAATTAGACTTTCAAGAGCAATAAATGAGGAAGGAAAGGACTGGCCTTTGTCGGAGTTTTCCCAAATAAACATGAAAAATTGTCCTGGCTGTTAGGTGAATTTTGAATATTAAATGAGTGGAAGTGAGATCATTATCTTTTAATAAAAGAAATTGGTATTTGTGTGTGTTTGACAGATGGTGTGTTGAATTGGCACCACCCAAGTGAGGCTGTCGTATACCTGGGTAGAGGAATGAACAATACATCGCAGGTTGTGACAGGCTTATTCCTACGCTTCATTTAATATGGAACCCGCAACACTGATTTCAGTGCAAAGAACTCCCTTTCCTTGGTCTCTGGGAAGAAGTCACTGCAAAATCTATGTAATTTGCTCTTCATTTCTCATATCCCAATGAATTCTCAAATCAGTAATGTGTGATGATATGTCTAGATATCTTGTGCTGCCATATTGCCCATCTCAAAATGATTTGGCAAGCTGAGAAAACAATTAAACCAAATAGATAAATCTATCATTGTAATGAAAAATATTAATTACAAGCAAATGAGAGCCAAATATATTTCAATCAGTGTTTGCCTTGCCATGTACTGAGATACGGATGACGAGAAATAGGTCGACTGTCTCTGCACTCCGTTTCTTCTGGGATGACTCCCATGTTAATAACATACTCCCACGTTAATAACATATTTCCACATTAATAACAGTGTCCCTGTCATATCTCCCTCATGGATAAATTATCCAAACCTCTGCAAAGGGGTACAATCAAGACGTCTTCATAGCTAAGCTCAACTCGATGATGCCTGGTAATGGAGTATCTGGGAAATACTTTAAATCTTGTAAATGGATTTCTCCTGGACAAGAAATATATGTTCTGTGTTTTCGCCCTTTCTCTTTGCAGAACTGTGCTTCGGGTAGAGAAGGACTATGAAGGGAGTGGGTATAGCCTAACATTGTGACATATGTGTTTCCATTAACTCTGTTAGCTTCCTTCATCTCTCATTCATTACTTCCTAGGGAGGAAAAGTTTCAAATTCTAATCAATGGCTTTAAAGAGAAGATCCTATCAAACATAGAAAATATTTTATTCTTCCCTTTGTCCTGAGAGTGAGCTGTCCCTGGAAAGCATGCGTTGTGCTGGGCTTCTTCTGGAGCTGCTGGAAGAAAGTGTAGAGTGGCGAATTCTGGTGCAGTGTTGGCTGCCTAGGTCTTGGTATATGGTATTAGGAAGCCTAGCTCAGCTCCCTGAGAACTTATGCTCTATTCTTCAATATCTGCTTTATCATTAATTAAGGTGAAACTTTGGCTCTTACGTGCTTACACTTTTATTTGTGAATTGGTTTAGAAGTTGGATAGAAATTTGGGCTATTCTTCACTGGGTGTTAATGCTGAATAAAGACTATTCTGTACGCCCTGAATTATTTTCCTTTGGAGAGTAGACAAACCATGTAGTGTCCCTTGCTAGAATAATAGACACAGATCTCACAGTATTAGGCTGACTGGAGGCAAACTTGACTTGTCCTAAGTTGAAGTCTCTGAAAATCTATGTATAAATAGGCAGCTGCTTTTGCTGATTCCACCTGTGACTCAGCCCTCTACAGAGCAAACAAATTAGTTTCCATAGACTCTAACCCCAGTTTTGAGTTGCCTTAGGGAAGAGAAGCCAATGGTTGGTCAAACATAGAAACCTCATTGGATAGGTCAGATTTCAAGCAGGAAAAGATTTGCTTTACTTCCAAATGTCCAAGCCTATACTTTCTGCAGTATATTTTCAAGATAGGTAGCTATATTATCAGTGAAGAGTCTATGAGGGGATCATCTTTTGCAAATTTACTACAATTTTATTCTATGCTACACCTACACAAAAACACCTCCACCTAGCTCTTCTGTTCCAGTCTCAACAAGTGACATGCTGTTCCTTCAGAATCAACATTTATGAAACATATACCTAGTCATTGTCATGTAGTTATAAATTTGACATATATATGTCAAACATCATCTATTAAGTTCTGTTGAGTCTCTAGAAAAGAAGATACTCTTCCACAGAAATCAAATATTGGTGGCTTTGGACTCCTGTGATGTTTGGTGTTTTTTAGGTTCTGAAGCTCCATCCTTGTATCACTTGAGTCACCACAATTCAAAATCGTTTTCCATTATCACTGACATGGCAGGTTACTTTCTGAATGGGAATAGCTTCAGGTTATAAAGGCTTTCAATTGAAAGTCAACCAAAACAGCCATATCCTTAGAAGAAATAGACTCCAAAGCTGTGGACTTAGATCGATGGGTCTCATTGTGTCCCCCAAAATTCATGTGTTGAAGCTTAATAGCCACTGTGATAGTACTAGCAGATGAAGCTTTTGGAGGTGATTATGTCATGAGCTGGAGCATGCATGAATGAGTTTACTGACCTTAAAAAGGAGGCTGAAGGGAATGAGCTAGATTCTTTGTACCCTTCCACTTTCTGCCCTGTGAGGACGCAGTATCAAAGTGTCATCTTAGAAGCAGAGACAAGGCCCTCACCAGACTCCAAATCTACTGGTGCCTTGATCTTGAACTTCCACCTTCCAGATCTGTGAGAAATAAACTTCTATTCTTTACAAATTACCAAGTCTCAGGTATTTTGTTAGAGGAGCACAAATGGACTAAGATGCCTTCTTCTTGCATATGGAAAGTATACTAATTTTTAAAGAGGCTAGATTTCCATGAAGGCTGGAACAAAAATTCTAGTTTATAATACCTTCATGAGGGAATTTTGGTAAATTTTCATAAGGCTGAGGAAAGGTAATTTTCTACTTAAATATATCTTCATGTTAGTTCTTTAACATGGCCGTAAATTTCTGATAATCATAATAGCACTTACCTGCTTGACCTGCGCTCTGCTCCTTGTGATTTTGGTTTTAGTACATTGGTAACAATATTGTGCACTGCAGCTTTATGTTGAAGTTTAGGTCACAAATTCAGTAAAATAGCTTTCAAACTGTAATCTACGTAAAAACTGGGGGCTTTCTAGTGCCTAATATCTGCTTAGACAGATACACAAAGAATCCTAGATTTGCAGTCAGTAGAGTATTACTCTGTTGTCACGCTGCTAATAAAGACATATACAAGACTGGGTAATTCATAAAAGAGGTTTAACGGACTCACAGTTCCACATGGGTAGGGAGACCTCACAATCATGGCAGAAGGCAAAGGAGAAGCAAATGCACATGGTGGCAGGCAAGAGAGCTTGTGCCGCAAAACTCTCTTTGATAAAGCCATCAGATCTTGTGAGACTTATTCACTATCACAAGAACAGTATGGGGGAAACCACCTCTATGATTCCATTATCTCCACCTGGCCCTGGCTTTGATGCATGATGATTATTACAATTCAAGGTGAGATCTGAGTGGGGACACAGCCAAACCGTATCAAGTAGTGATTTACAATAAACGTATTTGTTATTTTAATGTCTCCCGGAGTGTCGTGGGGAATCCAAAATGTGTGGTACAGAAGACGGTTTTCAAGAGCCTTTCTCTATACTCTCACTTCTTATTCTCTGATGTCTCATGTCTCCCCTAGGGCCTCTCGCATTTTCATCCCCAGATTGTCATTTATGGTGATGATGATCATCATGACAGTGAAAACAATGCAAATGTATAAGGAAATGAGATTTGTATGGTTAAGTGCTTTACATGCATTAAGTTATTTAATTCTCAACACAAATAGGTTCTGACCCTGTTCCCGTCTTTCTTTCCCCTCTCTGCTGCTCTCCCAAGTCTCTCTCAAATTACAAATTTTAAATAGCCTGATTTGGCCTCTCTGGCTTTTTTTCATCCCTTCTCTTTTTAATTGTTTTTCATATTCTTTATCACAGGAGAGCAAAACAGAGCTTTTAAGAACTGAATTCTATAATAGAATAAAGTGACTGAAGGGAAAGGTAAGGATTCACAGTGGATTGGGAGCTTGCAGACATTAGAAGATTTTGTCTCTTATAAACATAGGCTTTTAATAGTTGTGCTTTATCTGCCTAATGTACACAAAATTTGGTTGTACTTTTAAAATAAGTATATCAATTTTCAATAAGTATATGCAGTCATAAGTGCTTTTAGATGTGATATAAAAATCACTTATCAAATTAGTTTTTAAATATGTTGACATAATGAATGCTTAGGACTGAAACATCAGAAAATGTCATGATGACCTATGCAAAATATTGTATTTATGCAATATACTTATTTGAAGTGGACATATACATGTGATATATAAATGTATTTACCAAACGATTTTCTGTTTCTTACTGATTTTTCATGTAAAATTTAATTGGCATTCCTGAAAAAGACAAATGCATTTAATTGGGCGAATAAAATAGAAAGTACATTTTATTTATAACCTAAAGTAAATGTTAATGAAAAAGCTGCTGTTGTTTGGCACGTATACAATTTTGAGATTTTTAACTAGATCTTTAGTACAACATTGGTCAAGTTGTTATTTATTTATTTATTTATTTATTTATTTTTTTAATTATACTTTAAGTTTTAGGGTACATGTGCACATTGTGCGGGTTAGTTACGTATGTATACATGTGCCATGCTGGTGCACTGCACCCACTAACTTGTCATCTAGCGTTAGGTATATCTCCCAATGCTATCCCTCCCCCCTCCCCCCACCCCACAACAGGCCCCAGTGTGTGATGTTCCCCTTCCTGTGTCCATGTGATCTCATTGTTCAATTCCCACCTATGAGTGAGAATATGCGGTGTTTGGTTTTTTGTTCTTGCAATAGTTTACTGAGAATGAAGTTGTTTTTGAAACCCAATGAATATTGACTTTTAGTTTTGATGACAATATAGTGCTGAAATCCCAGAGACTCACAAGGGAATATAACAGAAGTTAAATTCTGGGCTTTCATTACTGACTTTGCTCTATACTGTTAGGCTTGTGTCAGAGAAAACAAGGATTTTTCAGTACATCCAGAGTTGAATTTATGAGCTCACATTGACTTTGTCCTGCAATAAGTGAGATCATATTTGGCCAGGTGTATGCCATCGATGGCTTCATCAGTCAGAAAGTGATTACATTTTCTGTTTCAACATTAAGGTTGTCTGAGATAATGTAACATTCTAAAGCACTCTGCATTGTTTCCAAGGATTGGAAGATGTCTTCCAACAGCCTAGTTAATACTGTTTTGTACCTCTCAACCCTTTGAAGCTCTAGAAAGTTTTGCAAATCTGTCTCCTCTAGTTTCTTCTTCCAAAATGGCAAATTTTCCACACTCACATTTTTTTGTGCAGCATAATTGGTGTCTTTCTGTGGCCTTGAACCAAGAGATCCCCCCCACCACCACTTAGGAGGTCACATATATTCATCAGGTTTGATGAATCATTTGTAAGCCTTTCCCTGCAAAATTTTCCATCAGTCATCTTTTCTTTTGCAAGAAGAATAAGGTTTATTTTCAGATTTAGCAATGAGTGGCTCAAAGAGTGTTGTCTGAAAAGTCAGTATTTTCTGTGCATTAGCAGAGAATGCTGTATTTAGCACATACTTTCTGAGAAAACCTCTGAAAATGATGGCAATCAAAGGTCAGTCAGATGAATTGAAAACTTGCCTGCCAGAAAAAATATATTTTGGGAATTTTTAAGAATTAAAACAAAATGTCAGTGCATACAGGTGTGGTGGTGTGGAACAGAACCCTCCAATATCTCTGAGGTATGCTTGGACTAAAATCCAGATTTTTTTTCTCTTCGCCTCTTGCTTAATACAATTTCACACTGCCCAGCTACAGATGTTCTAATTTTTCTGTCAGTGTCAAAACAATACTATATGAAAGTATATTCTAAGTCAATATTTGTATCTTAATTAAAAAAGAGGAACATAATATATCAAACCTTACCTTATTTTTACAACAACAAAACCCATAGGGAAAGAAGAACTGAAGATAATTTTTTTTTGGCAAAGTGTAAGAAGGCAGAACAGTCACTTAATGATAATTTTTGTACATTTCATGCACAAAGGTTTTAATTTTATAGTTCATACTCTGACAAAAAGCTCTTTAACTCAATAATGATTCTGTCTCCAAAAAGTCTGCCATCTCAGCAATAACTACTTTTTTAAAATAGTTATAACCTGTGCTCTAATACAGTTACTACTTAATAATGGCAGCATATGTATCAAACCAACAACCAGCAAAAGGAGAATGAAAATTATATGTTTCAAAAGAAATGTGTTTTGTTAATAAATTATGATTATAAAAAATTATAGTCAATAATTTTAATCAAAATCAGTTATGAAATGTGATGTTTTTTCCATCATAAATACAGAAAAGTGATGGTTTTGATATCCCAAACATAATACCTTGTACAAATGCTGCTTTGCAATTTCATTGTGACTTCTTCCTGCTTACTACTACTACTAATAGTAACATCTCCTGTTTGTTGAACACCTTCTAAATGCTAAGTACTGTGATTAATGCTTCAAGCTGCATTCTGTATCAGAACACTTGACTTTATCTGGCTATGCCTCAGTTACATATTCAAAATTGCCTTTTCATCATTCTCTCTAATCCTTCTTCTAGAACCTCTGTTAGCTGGATTTTAAAGTTCTGCCTCTGTCTTCTAAATCTTTTAATATTTCTTTAATACTTCCCATAACCTGATGTACTGAATCCTGAGGATATTCCTTGACTTGATATTCTAACTAACTAATTCCCCCTTTAACCATATCTGTTTGGTTAATCTTCCCATCTATTGCATTTTTATAACATTTAAGTTTTTAATGTCCATTATCTCTAGATTTTTTGTCATATGCATACAAAATCCTGTCATATCTTTTAAATACAGGAATATCCACTAGTACCAATTCCTACTTGTTAAATTAACTCTATTTCTATATATATTTTTGACTTCTGTCTTTATCTTACATGATAGAAAGCAGATCTCGAGATCAACCAAAAATAGTCTTCATAGAGATGGAAGCAGGAGAGTCACATTAAGTAAATCACCATTAATTATAGATGTATAATGAAGTTATAAATGATGGAAAAGAGAATCAGAAATGAAAGAATGAGGAAGAAAGAGGATGAGGGTGAGAAGAAGAAATAATAATCTGTACTATAAATAAACTCAGTGATCTTTTGGAGCACAGGCAACCAGCCAGCAAGAGGCCCCTTATTATGTAATATTTCATAGGAGAGAAATATAATTGACTATATTTTGAGGGTTTTTTTTTTTCGTTTTTATTGTTGTTATAGCAGCTTAGTTTGGATTCTATCTAATTGAGTTATAGAGACAGGCTAGTGACCCAGATGGCTGAAAATGTCCAAGTCAAGAAATATAATAAATATTCATGGTCAAAATTCTTCTCCTGGCCACACCTACCTTTAAGAAAATCTGGTAAATCTAATTTATAACTGGGAAGCCATTATAAACTTGATACATTACTTTAGTAAAGGAAAATGATGAGAATAAAACATAGAAGACTATTAGCTCACTCTACTTTATTGATCCGTGTTCTCACTTATTCTGCTACCTGTAGCTGCTACCAGACCTATGCTGGGAACTGAAAAAAGATACTTAGTCTTTAGACTTGGCCACTTTTCAGTACACTCATGTTTTAGTTTTGGAGTGATCCTGTGCATACTCTTTCTTAACAGTCCACTCTTTTCATTTATTATTTTGATTTCTTTTAAAAAATTTTATGTATTTTGTCAATTCTTAAAAGTTTTGTTGGGATATCAAGCCTATAACTTGCCCTCACTCCACATTTTTGAAGAGTTATTCAATATAATAAACTGTCTTTGAAAATATATTTATGATAGGTGGGCAGGTAACTAATACTTGTTAGTATCTACCTTGACTTAGTCACTCTACTCAGCTATCTCTCTCTCTCTCTCTCTCTCTATATATATATATATATATACACACACACACACACACACACATTATATATGCTTGTGGATATATATATAAAAAAATAAAAATGACCATATATTTATGTATAAATACATATGTAGTTACCATACATATTGAAAATGTAATCATTACTACAACTATTTACAGTATTTTCATTCTCATTTCACAAATATATTCTTCTAAAAGGCAAACATTTATTATTTATTTTGAGGGGAACATAAAACAAATTTCAATAAATTTTACTTTTTATTTATATCTGTTTTATTTTAAGTTCAGGGGAGCATGTGAAGATTTGTTATATAGGTTAAACTTGTGTCATGAGGCTTTGTTGTACAGATTATTTCATTCAGTCAGGTATTAAGCCCTGTACTGATGAGTTATTTTTCACAATCCTCTCTTTCCTCCCACCCTCCAATCTCCTATAGGCCCCAGTGTGTGTTGCTACCCTCTATATGTCCATGTGTTCTCATCGTTTAGCTCCCACTTATAAGTGAGAACATATACTGTTTGATTTTCTGTTCCTGATTTAGTTTGCTAAGGATAATGGCCTCCAGATCCATTTGTGTCCCTGCAAAAGACATAATCTCATTCTTTTTTATGGCTGCGTAGTATTCCACAGTGCACATGTACACATTTTCTTTATCCAGTCTATCATTGATAGGTATTTGTGTTTATTCCATGTCTTTGCTATTATGAATAGTGTTGTAATATACATGTGTGTGCATATGTCTTTATAATAGAACAATTTACATTCGTTTGGGTATATGTTCAGTAATAGGATTGCAGGGTTGAATGTAATTTCTGTGTTTAGGAGTTTGAGGAATTGCCACACTGTCTGCCACGACAGCTGAACTAATTTACAGTCCATCCAATGAGTATAAGCATTCATTTTCTCTACGACAATGCCAGCATCTGTTATTTCTTGTCATTTTAATAATAGCCATTGTGACTCATGTGAGATAGTATCTCATCGTGGTTTTGATTTGCATTTCTCTAATGATCAGTGTTGTTGAACTTTTTTCATATGATTGTTGGCCATATGTATGTCTTCTTTTGTAAAGTGTTTGCCCATTTTTTTATGGAGTGCTTTGTATTTTTCTACTTGTAAATTTAAGTTTCTTACAGATACTGAATATTTAGATCAAGATAAAGATTGATTAACCACCTGCTATATTCCAGGAACTATGCAATGAATAGGTATTACATACTAGTTGCCTGGATATAGGTAACATAAAATTTGCAGTGGTGAATCAGTTGAGATCTAGAAGAATAGACAAATGACTAAGGACTCACAGAAAGTAATGCAATCCTATATACAAAGCCAAGAAGTTTCCATCATGAAAGTAAGTGATATAGCTTTAATACTCCTTTCCTCGTTTTGGCTTTTCTCTACTTAATCGGCTTTTTGTCTCAGCGGCCAAAGAAATATCCCTAACATGTTTGCCTTGCCCAAGCACTCTTTGTTTTGTTACTATCATCTCATTTTTTCAGGTCTTAATTAATATACCAATGATGGCTTATTTTTCCCCTCAATATAAATTTAGCCAGTATTTACCCTTTGTAGTATCCTATATTTTGTTCTTTAGTAGTTAACATGTTTTTTTAATTATGCACCTGATTTATCGTGACTGACTTTGTTTTATCCTCCTGTAGAATTTCATGAAGACTAAAACAATATCTGTTAGTTTGTTATGTCTAATTCAGTGTATACCAAATGTCTAGTGGAGCATGTGGCTGTCATTTACCTGGAATGTGTTTGTTGAATAAAAGCGGATGTGGACATTTAATCACTGGTAGAGTGCATGACCAATGAAGTCAGATACAAGGGTTTCCCTGTCATGTCATGCACTGAACCTTTAATCTTGGCTGTTGAAATGGGTCGGGGGAGTTTGAGAGGTCCACAGAGACTGGCCAGTGCTGCTGAGGCAGCATGGATGTGGGGCTCAGGTGGCTAGTTATTTAACCAGTACAGAAGTGATTCCATATTTTTAACAACCAACAGAGCCACCACTACACAATCTGAGCATCAGCATAAAGAGGTGGATCAAACAGAGCTACATTTCATCTTAATTTCTTACTTCATAATTTATAACTCCAAAGCTCTTTAAAATTTGAACAGATTCAGTCATATGGTTTTATCTCATGCCATGCCCAAATAATCCTGATAACAATGTACAAGAATCAAATCCATTTGAATTGGGATTCAACTTTATAACTTCAAAGGTGATCTTAATTCCTTACCTACCTGCTGCTGATTTAATTCTAGTGAAGATATCATATGAATGCAAATAACTCACTGTTGTTTCAAAAAATAGTTGGTGTAAATGTTTTATATTTTAAATTTCTCTATGGGGTAATTTTTTTCTGTTGTGTTGAACTATTTCAAAAGTTCATATCATTTTCAAAATATGATTCAAGTGAAATTTGCTAAAACACTTTATGGTGATTGTAACCTCCTTCCTATGCAAGACACCAGCTGTGGCCTCACTTTTAGACTATTCATATAGCAAGCAAAGCCAAGAGTTATGTTTTGAGCTAAGAACCTAGACACACATCAAAATTAGAGAAGGTAGAATTCTAGAAAACTTTCATAGAATTAAAACTCTGCTACATATGTTTTTCCCAGAAGTTTTGGATTTTTTTAACATTTAATAATTTTAAATAAATTATTTAATCTGACCATTAAAGCTTTGAAAATTTTAAGTGCTGTTCATTTCTACACAGTTGCAACTTCTGTGTCATGGCATCTGCCTCTCTTTGAAATCTGATGAAAGAAATGGCTTTCTAGTGTGACCATACACCACTATCTTTTTGCAAATTTTTTTTAATCGTCATGAAAGTATCATGCAATCTTTGTGTATGTGTCCCCTACCTAATATGCTTTGCTTGGAATTTTTGTTCTTCAGGAACTTGTTTATATTTTTCTTGTTAAACATTTTTCTGATTCCCCAACACGGAATTAGTCATGCATCTTCAGAGCTCCAGCATTACTTTGAACAGATTTTTATTTTGGTATTTTGAAGATGTATTGTTTGTATAAGGTATATTGCTTTATATTTGTTTCTTTTCTTCTAACACCATGAAATTCTTGAGGGTAAGGTCCACTGTTTTATCATCTACACAATCTAATATAGTACCTAAAATTTAGTCTTAAGAAATTTTTAAAATAATGAAATAATCTTCCCTTGGATGTATCTTGACTTTTTTCTTATTGTTTCCTGTTTACCATTAGTGCCTTTTTAACTCTTCTGTAATTTATTTTTCTTCTTAGTTTTATAGCTCCCTTCCTCCTAGCTGTTGGACATAGAAGTAAAATGTAATTCAAGAAATAGCCTGGTTATTAAAATATATTGTCATAAACTTTTCACCTGGCACATTTGCTCTGTTTACCTTTATGCAAAACATGATGCATTATGTATAATGCTTTCTCCAGCTCGTCTATTAAAGGCAATTAAAGCAAAAGTAGGAATAATATTCTGCAGCTGCTTTTACCCCTAGGACCTTCTAGAAAAGGAACAAGATGGGCTTTGGTATTTATGAAATTTGTTGTTTGTTAGGGCTCTTAACTGAGGCTAACACAACCTTTCACATAATCTTAATTAGATTTGATGTTTTATTTGTCTTCATTAGGAGGCAGATTAATTTTTAATTAAAAAAGAAAAGATTACTGCATCACTGGATTATTAAAAAACAACTTTCCATTTCTTAATTCTATAAGCAAGACATAATTATAAATGACTAATGAATGTCTCAGGGCAATAATCTAATCCATTAAATTACCCACTTCTAATGGGACAAAGTAAAATATTCAAATAGTACTAATTGGAATATTTTTGAATATTACTTCCATGAATAATTTGAGTTAAAAACTAAAACTCTTAAAAGAGTTCTTGCCAGCATGAGAAACCTAGATTTCATTTTAGTACCTTGTAAAACAGCTGGGTTTAGATCACAACATACTTAGTGGTAGCCTAAATTTTATTTGGTATTTATTGTTTTCTTCTTTTATTTTTACTTCAGAGTATAACAGAAAAATATTCTTATGGGATAAGTTAAAATACAAAAACAAGACAAAGGAAGCAAAAACACAATTAAAACATTCCAATGTAGACACATAGATGCATAAGATAATACTGCATTATAAGTAAATTGTAAAATGGTGTATTGAAGACAAAAAATAAGCAAGGCATTCTTTAAAAAAGAGAATTTATTGATTGAAGAGTTGCCCGTGGCAAGAAGAGGAAGTTAGATGCTATAATCCCAAACTGTTGCTTTCCTTACTGCTGTTTTCACATGATGGGAGAAGTTCAACAGTAGTTAGTAGAAAATAAATGAGTAAAACAGTAAAGGCCTAAAAGCCTGAAGTTTCTTGCTATCTAAATGTGAAGTACATAAACAGCTTGATATTCTTGGAATCTTTGCCTTCTTGGGAAAATCGTTGTCTATCACTTGCCATTGAAATTAACTTTAAAAGCCCAATCCACCCGGGGCAGCTCCCCACGTTGATAATGGAAGGGAATTGAAAAAGGTATGCTGGTAAGGAATTGATTCTAATGCTGGAAATTTAGACCATCCTCAGATATTCACTTCTCTATCATAATTTCCCCTCTAAATTCACAGGGTTGTTGGATAGCAATCCAAATCAAATGCCTCCTCCAAAAATTTATACTTCCTAAAGCATAAAAAATAAAATTTTGACCGTATTAGTTGCTTGGCAACCTTGATCAACTGCAGTTCTGTGACTCCTTTGCCTCTTTGACCTACTCATCTCTTTCTCTTTCATTGAACTTATCGGGACTCACACATTAGCTTCTGGTTTGGAGCTATTCTTCAGTATGTAGAAGTTTCTAAAAGCAAACAGAAAATCACTTTTACTATAATGAAATCAAATTTAAGTCTGTTAAAATTGCAGCACTGGAATAAAATAAATATTATATTTGGAGTAGAAAAAGAGAAAAAAACAAATTGAACTTAAATTTTTTTTCCTCCAAAGTGACCAATATTATTTTATTTTAGCATCATTATAAACTTGTGCATTTAGACATTTTTGATAAGTTTCCATCTATTATCTCTTCATGTATGGCGGGTAAAAGATTCTTCATGTAGGCTCCTGGGTCCTGTTGATAACTAAGTCATCTTTGGTAATTTCTTTGATTTTTGTTATGACAAGATGATCATGGCTAATCTTACATAAACATTTCTTCTCCTGGACCTGAAATCGGCCATTTCTCCAATGGGCAGTTTTAGTGGAAAATAGTATTAAGAAGTCATAATCCAGGTCTTTTTAGTAGACAAAGCTAGGAAATGTTTGTTTTTTTGAGAAAATACATTGTGAGTTCATTCTGATGTTTACATTTTCTCTTATGCTGAAAAACTGTAACTACATTAACATAACTACTTATTTACTCTATAATATTTTCAGAATAACATTAGAAATATTATTAACATTGTGATTACTGAAAACAGTACATGATTTTTTTTGCAATTTTTTTTTTTTTTGCCCTTAGAATCATTACAGTGTTTTATAGTCATTTGGAGTAATTTTTCTCTGTGAGGCTATGTTGCTAACTCAAAACAAAGTTAGATGCATTTGTTTCATTGTGCTTTTACTAAGCTTGTCTTTTTGGAAAATTTCATTTAGTTTTGTTGGCAGATGGTTCCAAAGTGGAAAAAAATATAAGATCTATTTAGATGAGTGTAGCTTTTAACCTTGTCTTTTCCCATCCCCAGTTAAAAAAAAAAAACGATTCTGGTTTATCATTGTAGTTTTTAAGTAAGCCAACATAAAGCATAGTAATCACTTTCCCTGATCCTTTCTTTGATAGTAACATACTATAAAGTTTTCTCTCTTTTCTTTTTTAGACCTATGAATATATGTATCACTCCATAGCAGCATGTGAAGATATTTAAGCTTTTTAAAATTTGTATTTCCATTTGCCTGGTACACCTTTGTTCATCCATTTACTTAAGTTTCAATGAGGTACAATTTATATACCTCATAAAGGTACCATATACCTCATGAGGTACCATAAAATTTGCTCATTTGAAGTGTACAGTTCAATGACTGTTAGTAAATTTACAGAGCTATGTAGACATCACCACAGTCCAATTTTACATTTCCATCACCCAAAAAGATCCCTTGCACCCATCCATCCTTTTATTTTAAAGCTTTCTCAGTCTCTTTCTTTTAGATGTACCTCTCACATTCTGCACAATGTTGTCATTTACTTCCCAAAAATATTTTAATAGGTGAATTATATCCATTTGTATTTAATAATACAACTGATGTTTGGCCTTAGCTCTGCCACTGTTTTATGACCTATTTGTTTTTATGTCTCTTGTATTTGTAAATAAAATATCCAGTCTTTAGTTATGTGATTTTCTTGCCCTGCCAGTCTCTTGTCTTTGTATAATCTTTTTTGGTATTTAGGAAGGCTTTTATTTTTATTCTAAAGGTTATTATGCAAATATTTTATATAATATCCTTATGTCCTAATAGTTGTGGGGGATGCTATCTTTTGGCTCCCCACTATAATTAACTTTGAAATTCTCCCTTATTTTCCTCTCCCAAAACATCTAATTTGAAGTAATAACTTTTTATTTCCTGAAAATACCTACAGGACAATCAGTAAATATATTCTATTTTACTTGCATTATTTCCCTTCTTGCATTTTCAGAGAAATGTGCTTTAGTTACATTGTCAGACTTATAATCACAGAATATATATTTTATGGTCTCCTTTATCATGTAGCTCTAGTTCTCTTCAGTAAGAAGTTTTGTTCTGTAAAGGAGTTTCAGTTAGTTTGAGAGTTCACAGGGCTAGATCACCCCAGCACTATCCAACCTTTCTGAAGTCTGTAAGGTTGCCTCCAAGTTTTAGCTTCTCTCAAATTGATCTCTAAGAATTCTACCACTAATAGGACCTTTAGAGATGATCAGGATGCTGGCAACCTGATATTTGGATTCTCTGAGCCGTCCCTTGCTGATACCATGCTAGTCTTGATGCTGCTGCTGATTTATTTTACCCACTTGTATTCTGGAGTTCAAAGGTGTTGTATAATAAAGAATTTGACTGGGCTTTGTTGCTGGTTCCTCTAAAGTTCTTGGAACTCACCAATAGGAAAGTGTGTATTATTCATGAGCCCCTTGGATCACTCCTGAATTAATGCTAAGAATATGACTCAGGATGGGGGTAGAAAATGCCACAAAGATCAACTGTGTGATTTGAGCCATATACATGTCTTTGAGCCACATGATTTCAGCCCAACTTCCCAAACTGCAGGGAATAGGGCTGATGATCAAGCTCAACCACATGGCCAATGATTCAATCAACCATGTCTACATAATGAAACCCCAGTAAGAAACCTGAGTCCTGAAGCTTGGTAGAGCCTCTTGGTTGGTGAACATGTAGATGCGTGAGGAGGGTGATGTACCCTCTGTAAGACGGAGTTGTGAAGATGCGGCCGTATAATCTGATTCTTATTTGCTCTTCTCAGAGATCACTGTAGTATTTTGGAAAATTAAATCTACTTTTTGTATATGCAAAGAAGTACAAATCTTTATTAGGTTTGTTCATTCTGTAACAAGTTTTGCTTTTTGAACATTTATTTCTTTGATTTTGCTACTTGCTTTTCGCTCTTCCTCTTCAAGGTTGCAAGTATCCTGTTCCATCAGCTTTAAACTTCCTAGTTTGGAACTGATTTTTTGTTCCGGTTTTTTCTTGGTTTTTCTCTCAAGAAGCTCCTTCTTCTTTTGTCTAAGTTCATTGTCTTTGTGCTCCAGATGTTTGCTTGTTTCACGTAAGACAATCAACCCTGAATCCACTGCTTGCAATTTTCTACTAATTTCCTTTAGCTGTTCTTCTAAGTATCTTCTTTGCTCTAGGTCCACAGTGACAGTGAGAAACTGGGCTACTTTTAGAGATGTGTTAGTAGAAATAACTTTGTTTGACTAAAAAAAAGTTTTCACTACATACTTTTCTTCCGCTGTATAAATTTGTTTTAATCAGGTTTCTTGTATTACCCATTCAGTTCTTTCTCTGGTCTTTCCAGTTCCTACAGGAACTTCATGAATATAATACTGACAGCAAAGGTAACTCATTACAGGATCAGGTGCATCAAATAATTCTCTCAAATAAGGGAAAAATCCGTATTGTTTAAGTTCATTCAAAGGAACTTAAATTTTTATTGTAGGTCAAATTGTGACTTAGCAATCTGCTGTGTCTATGAAAAATTCCTAAAAATAGAATCTTCTGAAAAATAGCAAAAATAAACCATGAAAAAATAAAAAAAAAAACCTGAAGGTTCTGTAAAGTGAACAAGCAGACTTTTGGCAGGGAGACAACAATTGGAGGAAATAATCTACATAAGTTGAGTTTCACTTATTTTCTGTTCCTCTCCTGAGGGCACTAGAATTTGTGGCATGGCACTGGTCAGCTAATGCCTCAATAGAAAAACATTCTCTCTTTTATTCCAGAAAAACTAGGAGAAGGAGCCAGGGCAATCAGAGCCAGCAGAGAATGACATGGGAGGTAAGAAAGGAGAGAGACAAATAATGGAACTCAAAAGTCTGGGCATCAACTTTGCCACTGGCTGACCCAGGAACCTCACAGGCACAGGGTACATCAAAAACTTTCTTAACAGAGATTTCAGCTGCCAGGCTCTGCAGGTAAACAGGTTTCTAGTTTGCGTGGCACCAAGTTAATTGCCTGCTAAAACAAAAACAACCACACATTTCTAAAGGGTAGAGCGGAACCCAGGGCCTCTTCAGCACAATATTTATAATGTCCTGGAAACATTTTAAAACTACTAAACATATGGAGAACTGCAAAAATATGACCCACTGTCAGTGGAAAAGTTAATCACCAGATGGCAACTGCAAAATGTCCCTGATGTTGGGATGATGAGACAAAGACTTTAAAGTAAATATTTTAGCTATGGTCAATGAAGAAATTATGCTCATAGTGAACTGGAAGAATAGTAAATCTCATCAAAATGGAAAAAATATGTAAAAGAACCAAAAAGAATTCTAAAACTGAGAAATATATCCAAGATATCTGCTTAATCAGAGAGTGAATGTGACAAGGGAAAAAAAAAATCAACGAGCTTGGCGATGAATCAATAGGCCCCATTCAATCTGAAATTGTGAGAAAAAAAAAGTGATGAAAAAAATGAAGATGATCCCAGAGAGCTCTGGAACAATTTCAATATAGTATGGGTAATTATATTCTTAGAAAGAAAGGAGAGAGGGAGAAATAAACAGAAAAAAATTGACTGAAAATATTCCTAAATTACTGAAAGGCATAAATTCTACAAGTTCAGCAAATGGCAAATTTGGATAGCTAAGTATGCCTAGGCACACCATAGTCAAGCTATAAGAAAAATTCTTGAAAGCAACCAAAAAAAAAAAAAAAAAACAGAAACAAAAACAAAAAAACAAAAAACTAACAAATTACATATGGGATATGACCATTTGTATAACTGTGGACTTTACATTAGAAATGAAGAAAGCTAGAAAATAGTAAAAATAGATGTTTAAAGTCGTGAGAACAAAGATTGTCAATCTAACATTCTGTATCATCTTAAACCAGGCAAGGCATAGTGGTGCATGCTTGTAGTCCCAGCTACTCGGGAGGTTGGGGCAGGAGCATTGCTTGAGCCAAGGAGTTCGAGCCTGTAGTGTGCAATGATTGTGCCTGTAAGTAGCTGCTGCACTCAAGCCTGGACAACACAGTAAAGACTCCATCTCTTAAAAGAGGTCCTCCTCAAATGAACATTAATTAATAGAAGCATATTAAATTTATTATCTGCGGATTCGCACTGTAAGGTATTCTAAAAATATTTCTTCAGATTGAAAGGAAATGTTATAGTAAAACTTGAATCTTTAAGAATAGAAAAGTCAGGTCGGGCGCGGTGGCTCACGCCTGTAATCCCAGCACTTTGGGAGGCCGAGGTGGGCTGGTCACGAGGTCAGGAGATCAAGACCATCCTGGCTAACACAGTGAAACCCTGTCTCTACTAAACATACAAAAAATTAGCCGGGCGTAGTGGCGGGCGCCTGTAGTCCCAAGTACTCTGGAGGCTGAGGCAGGAGAATGGTGTGAACCCGGGAGGCGGAGCTTGCAGTGAGCCGAGATTGCGCCACTGCACTTCAGCCTGGGCAACAGAGCGAGACTCTGTCTCAAATAATAATAATAATAACAAAATAGAAAAGTCAGAAATTGTGAATATCTGAATAAAGTTTCAGACTATATTATTCCTTTTATTTCATTTAAAATATTTATGAATGTTTAAAAATTCTCACCATTTCGTGGGGTTAATAAGTAGACTGCAAAAAGCTAACCATATATATTGCAATTCATGGAACAATCAAAATAATAAAGCAATTAGTAAAAAATACAATAGATAATTAGAATGATATTCTAAAATAATATTTAAATAATAAAATAAGCAGAAAAGAGTAATAGAAGAAAAGAGAAAGATGGCTGTTTTTTTTTTCTTTTTTTAGACAAGGTCTCACTGTTACCCAAGCAGGAGTACAATGGCACAATTACATCTCACTGCAGCCTTCTCTTCCCTGGGCTCAAGCAATCCTCCCGCCTTATAAATCAAGACAAAGAAGAGGCTTTAAATCTAACATAATCAAAAGAAAGAAAATAGTAAAGATCATTAGACAGCCTAAGAAAAAAAAGATAGGTGACCCAAATAAGTAAAATCAGAGATGAAAAAGGAGACATTACAACTCTTACCACAGGAATTTATGGAATAATTAGAGGCTACTATGAGGAACTATAAACCAATAAACTAAAAACCTAGAAGAAATGAATAAATTCCTAGATACATACAACCTACCAAGAATGAACCATGAGGAAATATAAAACCTGAACAGACCAATAAAAAGTAATGAGATTAAAGCCATAATAAAAAGTAACCCAGCAAAGAACAGCCTGGGAACTGATGGCTCCACAGATTAATTCTACCAAACATTTAAAGAAAAATTCATATTAATCCTACTTAAATCTTCCAAAAAATGGAGTAGAAGGGAATACTTCCAAACTTATTCTATGAGGCCAGTATTACCATGATACCAAAAGAAGACAAACATCAAAAAAAGAAAACTACAGATCAATATCCCTATGAGCATTGAGGTAAAAATCCTCAACAAAATACTAGCAAAATGAATTCAACAAAACATTAAAAAGAACATTCAACATGGCCAAGTTGAATTTATCCAAGGAATGCAAAGATGCTTAAACGTATGCAAATTAGTCAGTGTGACGCATTATATCAACAAAATAAAGGACAAAAACCATGTGATCATTTTAATTGATGCTGAAAAGGCATTTGATAAAATTCAGCATCCCTTCATGATAAAATCCCTCAAAAAACTTAATACAGAAAGAACATAGCTCAACACAATAAAAACCATAAATGACAAAACCACAACTAGTATCATACTGAATGGGAAAAACTGAAAACATTTTCTCTCAGATCTGGTACATGAAAAAGGAGCCCACTTTCACCACTGTTTTTCACCATAGTACTGGAAGCCAGAGCCATCAGACAACAGAAGGAAAGAGTATCTAAACTGGAAAGGAAGAAGTCAAACTATGCTTGTTTGCAGATTATGTGATCTGAAGTTTACCAAAAAAAAAAAAAAAAAAAAAAAGAAAGAAAGACTCCCTAAAAAACTATTAGAACTGTTAAACAAATTCAGTAAAGTTGCAAGATACAAAATAAACATACAAAAATCAGCAGCATTTCTATACAGCAAATAACTTCTAAAAGAAAATAATCCCTTTTACAATAGCTACAAATAAAAAGAAAGTACCTGGGAATTAACCAAAGAAGTGAAAGATCTCTACAATGAAAACTATAAAACACTGATGAAAGAAATTGAAGGGAAGACAAATAAATGAAAAGATATTCCATGTTCATGAATTGAAAGAATCAATATTGTTAAAATGTCTATACTACTTAAAACAATCTAATAAGAAATTAATTTCTTATTTCTTATTAAATTAATTCTTAATTAATTATTAAAATTAATTAATTTCTTATTAAATTAATTTCTTATTAAAATACCAATGACATTCTTAACAGAAATACTAAAAATTACTAAAATTTATGTGGAACCACAAAAGATCCAGCATGACCAAGCTATTCTAAGCAAAAAGATCAAAACTGAAGGAATCACATTACCTGACTTCAAATTATACTTCAAAGCCTTAGTAAGCAAACCAGTATGATACTGCATAAACCTGGATACATAGACTAGTGAAACTGACTAAAGGACCCAGAATGAAATTTCTATATCTACAGTGAATTCATTTTCAACAAAATTGCCAAGAACATACATTGGGGAAAGGACAGCTTGTAGGGTCCACCCTTACGTGGCTTAGTGGGTGTTCTCCCTCTGTGCGGAGACAAGAGATTGTAAGAAATAAAGACACAAGACAAAGAGATAAAGAGAAAACAGCTGGGCCCGGGGTACTACTACCACCAAGACACAGAGACCTGTAGCCCCAAACGGCTGGGTGCGCTGATATTTACTGCATACAAGACAAGGGGGCAGGGTAAGGAGGGTGACTTTTCTAAGTGATTGAAAAGGTGAAACAAGTCACGTGATCAAAGGACGGGGGCCCTTCCCTTTTAGATAGCCAAAGCAGAGAGAGAGAAGGCAGCATACGTCAGCGTTTTCTTCTATGCACTTATAAGAAAGATAAAAAACTTTAAGACTTTCAGTATTCCTTCTATCGCTATGTACTACGAACTTCAAAGAGGAACCAGGAGTACGGGAGGAACATGAAAGTGGACAAGGAACACGACCATTGAAGCACAGCACCACAGGGAGGGGTTTAGGCCTGTTGATGACTGCGGGCAGGCCTGGATAATATCTAGCCTTCCACAAGAAGCTGGTAGCAGAGTGTTCCCTGACTCCTCCAAGGAAAGGAGAGTGCCTTTTGCGGTCTGCTAAGTAACGGGTGTCTTCCCAGACACTGGCGTTACTGCTTGACCAAGGAGCCCTCAAGCGGCCCTTATGCGGGCGTGATGGAAGGCTCAGCTCTTGCCTTCTAGGTCACTTCTCACAATGTCCCTTCAGCAAATGACCCTATACCCGCCGGTTATTCCTAGGTTATATTAGTAATGCAACAAAGACCAATATTAAAAGCTAATGATTAATAATGTTTATCATAATGATTGATAATTGTCCATGTTCATCTCTATATCTAATTTGTATTATGACTATTCTTATTCTAATTATTTTCTTTATTATACTGAAACAGTTCGTGCCTTCAGTCTCTTGCTTCTGCACCTAGGTAATCCTCCGCCCACAAAAGGCCTCTTCAATAAATAGTGCTGGGAAAATTAGATATCTACATGCAAAAGAATGAAACTAGATCCCTCTTTGTACATACACAAAAAGGAAATCAAAATAGATTAAAGATGTAAATCTAAGATCTCAAATTATGAAATTACTAAAATAAAGCATTGAGGAAACCGTCCAGGACGTTGGACTGGGCGAAGGTTTCTTGAGTACTACCCCATAAGCACAGGCAACTAAAGCAAAAATGAACAAATGGAATCACAGCAAGTTAAAGAAAACTTCTGCACAGCACAGGAAACAATCAGCAAAGTGACAGGAAAATCTGCAAAATGGGAGAAAATATTTGAAAACTATCCATCTGATGAGGGATTAATAACCAGAATATATAAGGAAGTCAAACAACTCTATAGGAAGAAAAATCGAATAATCCAAATAAAAAAGGGCAAAAATTTAAATAGACGTGTCTCAAAAGACATACAAATGGCAAACAGGTATATGAAAAGGTGCTCAACATCACTGTTCAGCAGAGAAATGCAAATCAAAACTACAATGAGAGATCATCTCACCCCAGTTAAAATGCCTTTTGTACAAGACAGGCAGTAGCAAATGCTGGTGAGGATGTGGAGGAAAGGGAAACCTTGTACACTACTGGTAGGGATGTAAATTAGTACAACCACTATGGAGAGCACTTTAGAGGTTCCTCAAAAAACTATAAATAGACCTACCATATGATCCATCAATTCCACTCCTAAGTATATACCTTAAATAAAGGAAATCAGTATATCAAAGACATATCTTCACTCCGATGTTTATGGCAGCACCATTCACAGTAGCCAAACTTGGAAGCAAACTAAGTGTCCATCGACAGATGAATGGATAAAGAAAATGTGGTACATACACACAACAGAGTGTTACTCAGCCATAAAATGAATAAGATCCAGTCATTTGCAACAACATGGATGGAGAAGTTATTATGTTAAGTAAAATAAGCCAGGCACAGAAAGACCAACTTCATATGTTTTCACTTATTTGTAGGAGGTAAAAATTAAAACAATTGAGCTCATGGAGATAGAATAGAACAACATTTACCTGAATCTGGGGAGTGTAGTGGTGTTGGGAGGGAGAGTGGCTAACGGGTAAAAAAATATAGTTAGGAGCCGGGTGCAGTGGTTCATGCCTGTAATCCCAGCAGTTCGGAAGGCCGAGGCCGCTGGATTACCTGAGGTCAGGAGTTTGAGACCAGCCTAGCCAACATGGTGAAACCCCATCTCTACTAAAAATACAAAAATTAGCTGGTGTGGTGGCGGGTGCCTGTAATCCCAGCTACTCGGGAGAGTGAGGCAAGAGAGTCGTTTGAACCCAGGAAGCAGATATTGCAGTGAGCCAAGATCATGCCATTGCACTCCAGTCTGGGTGATGAGAGTGAAACTCCGTCTCAAAAAAAAAAAAAAAAAAAAAAAAAAAAATATATATATATATATATATATATATATATATGGTGTATTGTTGGATTCAATTTGCCAAATTTCTTGAAATATTTTCATCTGTGTTCATGAGACATACTGTTCTGTAGTTTTATTTCATGTCTTTAGTTTTGATATCTCAGTGACATTGTCCTTACTATATATATAGTTATATATATATAAAACTTTTGAAGAACCTACAGCAAACATCACACTTAATGTTAAAATATTAAGTTTTCTTCTTAATATTGGGAGCAAAGCAAAAATGTCCATTCTGACCATTTCTATTAAACATTGAATTGGAGATTCTAGCAAGTCAAATAAGGCAAAAATAATTATATAGTAACATAGATGGATATATATATCTATCTATATATGTAACTATATATAGTTACTATAAATATATAGTTATAGTTACATACATAGATATATATATCCATCTATGTTACTATTTATAGTTGTATATATAGTTTATATATGGTATAAACTATATATAGTTTATACTGTACAAACATCTGTACATCTGTACAAACATACAAAATTCAGCAAACAATCTGTATGTGTATATATATATATATATATGGTTATATAGTTAGGAACAATGAATAAGAATGAAGAAGATCTGGTATTCAATAGCACAGCAGGGTGACTACAGTCAACAATAACTCATTGTACATTTAAAAATAGCTAGAAGTGTAAAATTGGCTCCTTTTGTAACAAAAGGAAAGGATAAATGCTCAAGATGATGGATCCTCCATTTCCCTTGATGGATTACTATGCATTGTATGCCTATGTCACAGAATCTCTTGTGCCCCACAAATATATGCGCCTACTATATGCCCACGAAAATAAAAATTTAAAATTTAAAAATTTAAACAGAGATACTAAAGACCAGACTTAAGTTTAAAAACAAAACAATAAAATGTACCTATGAAACAAAAACCTGGTTCTTTGAGTAAATTAATTAAATCGATAAACTTCTAGTCAGACCAAAAAAAGAGAAAAAAAAACAATAATGGGAGTGATGAGGTTGACATCATTAGAGATCAAATAGATATTTGATGGATATTAAAATAATATTGTGAACAACATTATGCTAAAAAATTTGAACACGTGAAAAGCAAATATAATTTTCTTGAAAAACGTAAACTATTAAACTCACTTGGGAAGGAATAGACCAACTTGATTGCCCCTTGTCTATTAAAATAATTAAAATTTGCTTTTACATTTCTTCCAACAAAGAAACTTACAAGTGTAATTGTTTTTTACTATAATTCTATCAAAAAAATTAAGGATAAGTGCCGGGATTGCGCCACTGCACTCCAGCCTGGGCGACAGCGAGACTCCGTCTCAAAAAAAAAAAAAAAAAAAAAAAAAAAATTAAGGATAAGTATCACCAGTTATTCACAGCGTCTTTCAGAATAAGAACTATATTCCAACTCACTCTGTGAGGACACAGTCACTGTGATATCAAAAGTAAAGACATGAAATAAAACTACAGAACAGTATGTCTCATGAACACAGATGAAAATATTTTAAGAAATTTGGCAAATTGAATCCAACAATACACAAAAAATGAATGCACTATGACCCAGTGGGCTCTATTGCCAGAAGGTAAAGTTGATTTCACGTTCTTAAATGAAACAATGAAATTTACCACTTTAAATAATTAAAAATTAAAAGTTGAGAAAAGATATGATCATCTCTTCAGCCACAGAAACATCCTTGACAACGTTCTACACCAACTTCTGATAATAAATCCTAAACAAAGTAGGAATATTATTAAACTTTCTTAACCTGGCAAAGATCTTTTGAAGAACCTACAGCAAACATCACACTTAATGTTGAAATATTAACTTTTCCCCTTAATATTGGGAGCACAGCAAAAATGTCCATTCTCACCATTTCTATTAAACATCGAATTGGAGATTCCAGCAAGTCAAATAAGGCAAAAATAATTATATAGTAACATAGATGGATGATAGATGAATAGATAGAAAGATAGATAATCAAGCAAATAAATAACATATAAATGAGAAAGGAAGATGTAAAACTATCTTTCTTTGTAAGCGGCGTGAAAAGTTGGCATTTTTTGGCTTGTGGATGGTCTTTTCTCTGTGTCTTCACGTTGTCTTCCTTCTAAATCTTACCCCTTTCTATAAGGACACCAGTCATATTGGATTAGAGCTCACTTTACACCAGTATGGCCCTCATTTTAACTTAACTAATTAAATTCACAATGACCCTATTTCCAAATAAGTTCACATTCCAAAATACTGGGGATTAGGAATCCAACATATGAATTTTTGAAAGACATAATTCAACCAATATCATACCTCTAAAACCAGAAACAACCTAAATATATATCAACAGGAAAATGGACAATTTTGCTGTGTTTATATCATGGGATACAATTTAGCAATAAAAAACAGTGACCAACAATTGATACTTGTAAAATAACAGATTCATTTCAAAATAAGTACGTAAAGTGAGAGAAGCCAGGCCAAAAAAAATACATACTTTATGATTACATATATATAAATTCCTAGAAAATGCAAATTAATATATAGTGACAGAAAGAGGATTAATGTTTACCTGCAGATGGGGAGGGAGGTTTGTAGGAATGCAAAGGGGACCTAGGGGCAGAGATTACAAATGAGCATGAGAAAACATTTATCATCTTGATTGTCAGGTTGATTTCACAGATATATGCACATATGAATTCTTGTGTTATGCAATTTAAATACATGCAGATTTTACTATATAAATTCTACCTCAATAAAGATCTTTTTTAAATACAAATATTTTTAATAAAGCACCCACTTTTCAATAGGAGTTTAAAAATGGACTCAATAATACAAAATCCTGTAACTCAAAAATAAACTGTTTCTAGTTAAAACAAGAAAAAAATTAACACCGATTACTGAGATTGCCAAATGGTAGTCAAAAAAAATAGTTTTGATATGTTGAGTAACAAAAACTTGAAATATAGAATTTTATCAAAATATATATCATAGAATCATAAAGACAGAGATTACTCTTGTCTCCAGATAATCTAAGGGAAATGAACAAGTTACTAATTGTCTTCTATTAAATCAAAAATATTTACTGCCAATTAAAATCCACGATAAATTTTATAAATACCAGAAGTCAAGTATTAAAAAAAAGCCATTCTGACTGTTCATCCAACCTAAAACAAAAATGCAAACATAAAATTACTTATTTTTTAATCAAAATATTTGCTACAATGTTGGTCACCTTCACAGTCTTCCAGGCCTGGTCACTGTGTTAAAATGATAAGAGAGTAAAAAGACATTTAACATAGAATACATGTTTTCTTTTGGACAGTACCATTTTTCAAGGGCAGTTCGTAATCTATCTGGATCAGACATTTAACAGACAAAATCCTAGTTACCAAAGTTACTTTAACCATATGTGTTTTATAGATTGAGACATAAATATGGATGGGCTTTCAGAGATAACCTGTTCTAAATTCATATTAAGAGAGACAGACAAATTGCCAGCTGGAAATATTAAATGGCTTTCCTAGTGTCATACAGACATTTGTTAGTATAGCCAGGGTTAAATCTGCTACCTCTTAATTTATCCTAGAATAGCTTTCTCCATAAGCTATCATGCTGCAATTTAAACATATTATATATAGGGTAATATTAAGATTTGTTAGAGGAGAGTGACAAATACAGGCTCCCCTATACTTTACTGCTCTGCTAGAGTCCCTACAGAATGCATTAATTAAAGTTAAGAAGATATTAAGTCAGCATCTTTGACATTGAATTCATGTTGCCTATTGTGAATGACTAAATAAATAGACATTTTCATAGATATTTTTGAATGCAAATGGTTAAATTCTACAACATGAGAATGAAGGCTGAGGACCTAATGCCAGAGATTGTAAACACTGATAAATAAGCTATGGCTCCTGCCTTTGTGAACACGATACTAACAGAAAGGGTTTGTGTTACATAAATATTAACTCTATTATACATTTATTATATTCTAGCCATGAGATCCAATGCTTTGATGAAATGGCATTGAAAAAAACTGTGAGAGACTTCAGCATCCAATGTAATTAACACTGCTAAACAGAGTTAATGAAGGTGTGAGCATTATTACATTCTTAATGAAAAATATCTGTAAGTGTAGTGAGTAAACTTATGGTATATGTTATTATCCAATGTCAGAATCTGGGGAAAATTTACCTAATTAAAGTAGCTACTCTTGTTCCAGAGAATAGAATAGAGACATGCTTTTGAAAATAAGCGAAGCTGTTAGTAAGTCTTCCTTAATTTTTAACTCATGAAATAGAAAATTAATTGGCATTGTGACAATTTTAAATTTTTTTTGGTCAAGGCTATAAAAATTACTTTATACTAAAACTCACTATGTCTTCTGTGGGGTAAGAGTGCCTTAGAGAGCAATTTGCAAAGTGT
This sequence comes from Homo sapiens, assembly GCF_000001405.40. Lineage (NCBI taxonomy): Eukaryota > Metazoa > Chordata > Mammalia > Primates > Hominidae > Homo > Homo sapiens. Next base: position 14,034,490 of record NC_000008.11, read on the forward strand.
TTAAAAAATGCATACCACCTTGGAGCATTAAAAATCATTATACTAAATGCAATCACATACTTCTTAATGTGTGTATCCATTCAATTCTAATTATATTAGTTCTCTATTCCTGCCATAACAAATTATCACACTCTGTGATGTTTGAAACAACGTAAAGTTATTATCTCACAATTTTGTAAGTTTCTATTCATGTCACTGAAGTTCTATTAGGCTGGGCTGATTTTTCTACTCAGAGCCTCAAAACGTTGAAACCAAGGTTTCAGTGAGCCCTGGGAAAGAATCTGCTCATTATGGTAGTGGCAGAATTCAGCGTCATGGAGTGATAGAGCTAAAGTTCCTGTGTCCTTGCTGGCTATAAGCTAGAGGTCGTTCTAAGTTTTCTCTAAAGGCCTCCTGTATATCCTGGCTCATGGACCCCTTAATCAGCCTTCAAGGCCAGCAGCAGCAGATCGAGTTGCTGTGTTTTCATCTCTGTGGTCTGCCCTTCTGCCGCCCCTCTCTGACTCCTCTTTCTGCCATTTCTGACTCGAACAGGATAACGTGCTCTGATTTTAAGGGCTGTTGTGGTCCGGTTGAATCTGCTGGAAAATATCCAGCATAATGTCTCCATTTTAAGATATATAACCTTAAAAACATTTGCAGTGTCTTTTGCCATATCACCAACATATTCATAGGTCCCAGGGTTTAGGACATCTTTACGATAGGGAGGATTCGGCACACCTCGTATGTGTTTAAAGGGAGTACATACTTTTTGGTAACTTTGCCAAAGACAGCCTACCCCCATCCACCAAGGAACTTCATTTCAAATCATTATTAAGTAGTTTATGTGAAAAACATAAAAGAAGCAGCCTGTGAAATATTTACTTATATATGATACATGAGGGCACATGACTAGTTTTGTTTTATTTGTATCAGACTATACTCTATGCATGTCATTGTCTATCAGTCCTTATACACATTTTTTCGCCAGCACATATTTTATCTTTCTGTTTATATTACACATGAATTATTTCTAGAGTGATAATGCATTTACAAATGTAATATGTTACCTGACACAGAATAGTTGCTCAATAATTATTGTTTCCCTTCCTTTGTTCATGCTCATTAACTTATTTGATGTTCCTTCTGTCCTTGTTCCTAAATAGTTACCAAAAACTTACAGAAGGCTTACTTCCTCATCTAAACTTTGCAGAAATATTCCACCTCACAATTGCTCTTCCCTGACATATTACATCATTTCACACTACAAGGTAATAAAAGAATATACTCTGCCTTGTATTAATTGATACATTTCTATGCGTGTTACTTTTGCTCTGTTAGCAATGATAGGAGAAGGCCTTTCAAAATGCAAAACTGTACTCTCACCAGTGTGGTTCTGAGCACATAGCAGCTGTTCAATAAAACTGTGGACTGAAGCCAATTATTACTTCTACGGGAATATATTTTCGAGTTAGGGAGACAGGTAAGAGATTAAAGAGATGTTTTTATATTAGATGAGGAACATGTTATTATCTGATTCACACTGAAGCCTAGGAAGTCAAGGAAAATAATAAAGTAGCTACCAGTTTTCTTGTTTTTCAGTGGGCTTATTATTAACTATATGGGGTTATTTTCAGTGGGGTTATTATTAACTGTGTTAATAATAAAACTTTGATCACAGACAACACAGGTTCATAATACCTTATCTGAAATTCCAAAGCCACATGAGTTCTTAAAATCAAGTGTTTCCAAAGCTCATATGCCAATAATACCTAACTTGAAAAAATTAAGCCAAATAAGAAAATAATGCGAGTTTTTAAAGTAGTTTCCCTTTATGCCATTTAGTATGATTATTAACACATTTTTGGCAGAGATTTTAACGTGGTTGTTGCAGATGCTGCCTCAAAAACCTGTTAGGACATATTGTATTTGCAATGCAATACTTTTCTGAGAAAAAAGAAAAAGAAAAGTGTGAATTCTGAAACAAATTTAAGTCAAAAGTTTTGGTTGGAAATGGCAAAATCTTACCTCTGTAAAGCAATAAGGTCACTCTAGCACAAAATAATGAAGAAATACCTTCTTGTAGGTGAATTATAAATATAAAAATATGTTTTAAGACTCGACAATTAGATTCTTAGTGTAGTATTTATATATTGTCTAGGTAGTTTCTTATGGAAAGGTCTATTAGAGGAAGTGGGAGACTTTCTCAATGATAACAGATTTTTACAGGTCAAATTTTTCAAACAGGTATTGAATCCACTATATTTCCTTGAGAACTTATGCCTCTGATCATACTAATGAAGCTTAGTTGTGTATTTATTGTTGGCACACGTCTAAAATTTAAAAATAAATATGATAATTAAGATGCTGTATAAACTGTAATCACTAAATTTTCTGTTTACATCACTCAATTAATTATCAACTGTATAAATGTATAAATACTCACATTAAGTATTCTTCATTCTGTGGCAGAATTTCCTATGTAATTATAAGACTAATAATGATGAATTTGTTGAAAAACCATAATTGAATAGTACAACTAGAAAACATCTGGCTCTAGAAGCTTATGCAAAATATAGTTTTACTGTGAACAAATAAATGGTATTAGCTTTTATCTTTTATTTCACAACACAGCCTTAATTTTTTAAAACTATATTTTGAAATTTTGAAAGCGTTTTCTTATCTTCTGTGGGGCAGTGGTCCATTCAACACTGGAGAATGTGAAAACTATAGCAAATGTACTGCCGGCTGTATAATATAATTCATCTTTGTAGAATGAATGCCTCATTGGAAGAACCAATAGTACATCTCTACTACAGAAATCTCCAGTGGAGGCAAAGGGGTATGCAAATTACTTTATTCAAAATTTCTATCTAAATATGTTTACCCTTTATGTCAGAATTCCTAGCATTGGGTAAAGAAATCGAAGTTAGCAAGTGAGAAAAGTGAGGACTAGATCAATTGTGTTATTATCTGTCCAAAATGAACGTAATCTCTACTTTAGTGATGCTAGAAGACAGGAAAGAACAATGTACTGAAAAATGCCAAAGCATGAACATAAAATACCTTATTCACATTTATGGAATTTGGAAGTAAAATTATGTTTATTTTATTTTGCATAAAAGGATTTTATGATTACAAACGGGGAGTTTCCTTTTGGAATTCATAGGGGAAAAATCCATTCTGTTTGAGTAACAATGAGAACTAAAACTTCTTGCTGGCTTGCTTCGCACACCCCACCAACCCCATCAAATTAGTAATTAATCAAAATGTATTGGTTTGGACCAAATTAAAAATAGCTCAAAGTAATAAACATTTTGGCAGTTTAATTTTATTATTATTTAATTTAGCTTTTTTATTTTGATCATTTATTTTTTTAGAGACAGAATCTTGCTCTGTTACCCAGGCAGGAGTGCAGTGGAACTGTCATAGCTCACTGTAACCTTGAAGTCCTGGGCTCAAGCTACCCTACCTGCCTCAGCCTCCAGGAGCAGGAACTATTATGTCTTTTACTTTATACATGAATAAACTGAGGGAAATGCAGAAGTATTGGAGTTGAACTGTTTGGCCACAGGAGGTGTAATCTTAACCACTAAGCTATACAGGCTATTCTCTGCCCAGAATCATGCCTGTGGATTCTGCCTGCACGTCAGAACATGCAAAGGGAGACACAGTTCTGATATGTTATTAGAGAACTATGTAAAGTGAAGACTGCCTCTATTGCTGAGGGAAAACAAAGATGCACAATTTCAATGTGATTTTATGTGGTTAGTAATCTGTAACATTTATTATCTTGTTGTATATTATCCGGGGAAGTATTTGATTGTAATAAATGTCTTGCAACTTCCATGTCTAGCAAGAATATATTGGCTCATTTTCATTACCCATCAAAATGGATTAGATGTCTTTAAAGTTATCTAAAGCTTAGTAATTTATAATTAAAGTTTTCCTTATATAATTTTCAATGTATTTGTGTAATAGCATTTGCATAGATTATACTCAGTTGGACAATATTATCTATAGTTAAAAAGATGGAGATTTTTGAAGAGTTAGTTGTAAGAGAAAAATAATTGTATGTTAGACCAGTTTATTCTCGTCAGATATTAAAATTAGCCATGTAGGGCAGGTAGAGGTCAGATGTATTTTCTTTTGATTAAATAAAATGCTGAAACTAGGTATTAATAAACAGACAAACTAGCATGCTTTAAGCAACTCAGGCAAAATCCTTACGACTGAAGGCATTGGGGTTTAGAAAGATCAAAGAGTTCTTTCATGGTATATTATTAGTAGGTAGCAGTGCTGAGATTTGAATCCAAATCTGTCCCTACAGTTCCAGCGGATCAAACTGCTTTATCCAAGCCACAGGCATTGGCTTGTTTGTGGATTATACTTTTCTAAATTTACTTTGCTGAGGTTACATAAATCTGTTGGATTTATCTGTAGTATATGTTGGCTATTTAATGTGGAGGGCATATTCTAGAGCTAATTGGGCAGAAGTTAACAAGATGCTGCTTGCTTTACTTTGCAAATACTGGGAGGAAGAACAAGTTGTTGCCATTTCAGCTATAAAATCTCTTCACTCTTCAACCGTATTTCCAAGAGCTTCAATCTCTTTCATCACATATTAAGTCCAGCCACACAATGCAAAATGCAAATTAGAAAGACATTGATTATACACCGAAATAAACTTTGAGATCATATTACACACTTTTTAACACTTATTTCCTGGTATCTGTGCAATTTCACAAACATTTCTTGAGCTCACCAACAATATGTGAGATTCTAAGCTAGGAATTGATAATATAACAAGAAAGAAAGCAGACAAGATAACTGTCCCCATGAAGCTCACCTTTACACAGAGGTAAATCAATTAATAAATAAGTAAACAAGTCTATGTAGAATACATCAAAGTGAGAGAGTGCTGTGTAGAAGAACAAATCAAGGTTAGGGAAAACAAAAGTGTTGGAGGAGGGAGGCTCATTCTGATATTTATTTAGAGTTTTCAAGAAAGGCCCCTATAATCAAGTAACATTTGAGCAAACATGTGAGTAAGAAGAACATTTCCAGAAAAAAATGAGCTGAAATTATAAAGGTTTGGAAGCAGTAAAAAGCATGGTTTGATCAAGAAACAGGAAGGGGTTGCTCTTCCTATGTTAATTTTCTTAGGATTATGGCCTCTGACTACATGCATGATGCTGCAAAGGACATGATTTCATTCTGTTTTATGGCTGTGTAGTATTCCACGGTGTATACGTACTACATTTTCTTTATCCAATCTACCACTGATAGGCACCTGGGTTGATTCTAAGTCTTTGCTATTGTGAATAGTGCTGTGATGTACATATGAGTGCATGTATCTTTTTGGTGGAATAATTTATTTTCCTTTGGGCATATACCCACTAATGGGATTGCTGCTTTGAATGGCAGCTTGCTTTTTTCTTTGAGAAATCTCCAGACTGCTTTCCACAGTGGCTTAATTAATTTGGGTGATGAGATTCATACCCAAACCTCAGCATCACGCAATATGCCTGTGTAACAAATCTTCACATGACCCCCTCTATCTAAAATAAAAGTTGAAATTAAAATAAGAAAAGAAACAGCAAGGGGGCAGTGTGGCCTGGGCACAAGGAGCAGAGAGAGCTCCAGATAGAACTCCATCAGAGCTGAGCCTCATCTGGTCTGGTCCTGGCTCAGCTCTGATGGATTTTGTCTTCCCTCCTACTATCAGAGATGTGGAATAGTCTGACTCGGTAAGAGGATCTTTAGGGGTATGGTGTGGAATAGACTGGAACAGAGCAGGAAGAAGACATAGGGAGACTAGGTAGGTGGTTACTGCAGTTGCCTGGGTAAGAGATATTTTTGGCTTGACTCAGGGTGGTGGCAGTGGAGGGAGAGGAGATCAGTGATTCATTTGGGGATATTTTAAATTTGTGATGCTGCTAATTGTTTAAGAGAAAAGAGGTTGCGTAGTTCAGTCGGGCTTCAGAGGAGATAGTTAAAAATATAAGACAGGAGATTGAATGAAGTTAGCTACAGAGACAGAGAAGGAGAATATACAGAGGTAACAATGATAAAGAGAGCAAGGACTTTATGAGTCAGAGAGAATAGGCAGATTCAGGACCAGAAATAGAAGGTATGGCTGGGGTATGGGAGGAGAAGCAGAGGGAGCAGGGCCTGGGAGCTCAAGTGGAGGAAGCGTTTTTAGGAGGGAGGAGACATAGATTTAAATGCTACTATTAAGAGGTCAAATAGAAACTGAAAACTGATGGCCAGTTTTATCAAAACACAGGCTATCGCAGCTGGAAAAGAACTGTTGTAATGTTGTAATGAGGTATTTGGAATGAAAGTGTGATTGCAGTGAGTTCAAGACTGAAGGAGAGAAAAGGGCTGGATAACTTCATGAAGTTTTGGTGAAAATGGAAGCAGAGAAATAGGGCATAACTGGAGGAGGTTGTGGATTCAATATAGTTGTTACTTAAAGGTGTTTTCTTTGTTGCTTTTTTTAAACATGGAATAAATATGAATAGTATGCTTGAACGTTAAAGAGAAAAACAAATGGATAATTCAGGAGGGAGAGAGGAGAATTGCCGGTGTAGTGCCCTCCAGAACCTGAAATGAGAATCTGTGGGCCACAGAGGGGCACGTTTGAGCAGCTGCTTCGACATCTGGGTCATGGTCATGGTGATGAAAGATAGGTAGGGCTAAAGGCGACAGGTCAATGGAATGTTACTGAGTGCTTGTGAATGCTACTTTTCATGATTTCTACGTTCTCAGTGAAATAGAAAGACCATTGAGCCGGGCGAAGCGGCTCACGCCTGTAATCCCAGCACTTTGGGGGCTGAGGTGGGTGGATCACCTGAGGTCAGGAGTTCAAGACCAGCTTGGTCAACGTGGTGAAACCCCATCTCTACTAAAAATACAAAAAAAGTTAGCTGGGTGTGGTGGTGCCTGTCTGTAATCCCAGCTACTTGGGAGACTGAGACAGGAGAATCGCTTGAAACCCGGAGGCAGAAGTTGCAGTGAACCGAAATCACACCATTGCACTTGCAACAGAGTGAGACTCTGTCTCAAAAATTAAAAAATAAAATAAAATAAAAATAAATAAATCACTGAGAATGTAGGTGAAAGTTTTTTAAAGATTTGAGGAGAGAAGTGAGAGTAAGAACTAATAACTTAAAAGAATAAAGGAGAAATAGACTGAAAAATGAAGAGGGATCATACCTTCGAGGATTACCAAAGCTAGAATTTTCGTTTGTTTGTTTGGCCTGGCGGTGGGGTGAGGAGAGGGAGAAATGCTTTTAGTCAAGTTTGTTTTATTCACATACCATTCTCTTAATAAAGTTTTTATTCTTTATTTTAGAAGTTCAAGGAAAATAAGCACACTGTGCTGTTAATTAAAATAAATATTTTTTCTGTAACGTCCTAAAAGAATCATGAGCATCCTACACTTATTTAAACCTTTTACTTTTTATTTCTAAAATGGTGTTGATGCTAAAAATATTTGAATGAATGAAATTCTGCTGAATTTTGAATCAGTAGGCCCTGATCCACAAACCAGTTCTTTCCTGTGTGATTCTTTCTTCTGCAGAACCTTTTAACTGTGAAGGATTCCTTCAACTTACTTTGCATGAAATTATGAAGACAGTGCTTGGGGAAAGCTAACTATATTTCCCTTTCCTTTAATAGAAACAGAAAAAAATAGTGTTAGAAGATGGTACTAATATCTCCCAAGTGGTATATATGCCATTTAACTATCACAAAATAATTGAATGAATGACAGTTATAATCATTAGAATCATAAAATTTTGGAACTAGAAAGTGTCTTCCAGATCATCTAATATATTTAATTCATAAAAGATAAAACAAAGATCTAGAGATGTGAGAAGTTTGCTGATAATCTCAAACCTTCTGATGAACTTAAACAAACATTGCTTTACAATTAGCTTGATGCCCTTTTCACTGATCACTGTCCATCTTTTTTGTCTTTAATCCATTTCTTTGTGTTAAATTATTTAGCAAATTGTTATTCAGTAATATAATTGCTCACATTATTCAGTTATGAAATTGTTTGTATATTAATTAAGAAACCAATACACGTCCAGTGGAATGCTTTGCTCTGTGGATGCTATCACACGTAATGGGTTGAATAGTGTATCATATCTTCCCAGAATCTCAAAATATGACTTTATGCAGAAATATGATCTTCACAAATGTAATTAAGGTAAGGATCAAGATAAGATCTTACTGGATGAGGGTGAGCCCTGAATCCATAGGGAGTCACAGGAGACAGAAAAAAACAGGATACACAAGTACACAGATAAAGCAATGGGCAGATGGAGGCAGAGATTGGAGGATGCATCTGAATATCAAGGAATGACAATGATTACAGAAACCATCAGAAATTAGGCGTGAGGTTTGGAATATTTTCTCCTTCAGACTTACTGGAAGGAACCAACCTTGTGACAGCTTAATTTCGGAGCCTCCTGAACTATGAGACAATACATTTCTGTTGTTTTAAGCCACCAGTTTGTGGTGATAGTCCTAGAAAACTAATATACCATAGAAGAAAATATCAAAGCCTATGACCTGGAAAAGCAGTAAAATAGAGGAAAAAGAAAAAGGAAAACCAGTTCGTTAGCCTATGGCCATTAGTAAGCATTACTATGATGCCTCCCCACTCAATTGATAAACATGTCCCTTGTTCATTGGAGTTGAACTAGAAAAATGAGGTTTTTTAATTTTTATAATGTATAACAGCACCACAGTCTACATTACAAAGGCTGTGTGATGCCATATTACTGGACAGCCCTCCAGAATTTGTCATATATTTTTCCATGCCAATACTGAAAAATATTTGTTTTATCAGTACCGCCTGAGAACTGTGACACATAATATGGATAAAAGAGCAATTATTTAAAAACTAGCCACTCCGTACCCGTTTCTGTGCTAAGGAGCTTTACATATGTGAGCTCATTTAATTACAAAGCATCTGCATTGGCATCTGTGTTAGTTTGTCATTGGTATAAAAAGTGACCACAGAAGTAATGGCTTAAAAGAACACACATTTATTATCTCACAGTTTTGTTGGGTCACAAGTCTGTGAATGGCTTAATAGGGGCCTCTTCTCAGGGTCTCAAAGATGCAGTGCAGGTATCAGCTGCCCTATGAACATCTGAGGCTCAGGGTCCTCTTGCAAGCTCATTCTACTTGTTAGCAGAGTTCAGGTTTTTTTTTTTTTTTTTTTCATGTTCTTGTTGAACTGAGATTCCTGTTATTTATTTATTTATTTTTATTTTTTATTTTTTTGGCTATGGGCTGTGGGTGCTGTCAGCAACTAAAGTGTCCTGGTCATGTGGTCCCTCCATAGGTAGTTCACAACATGGATACCTCCTTTTTCCCAGGCCAGCAGGAGATTGCCTGCATCTCTCTGACTCTCTCTAACTCTGGCCCAGATTTAAAGGCCTCATTAGATTAGGTCAGGTCTATTTAAAAGCAAACTAGTAAGGGACTTTTTATTTTAAAGGACAGGGTCTTGCTCTGTCATCCAGGCTGGAGTGCAGTAGGATGATCACAGCTCAATGCAGCCTTGAACTTCTGGGCCGAAGTAGTCCTTCCACGTCAGCTTCATGAGCAGCTGGGACTACAGATATGTGCCACTATGCCCAGCTAAGTGTTTTTTTTTTTTTTAATTTAAATTTTTTTTTGTAGAGACAAGGTCTCATTCTATTGCCTAGGCTGGTCTCAAACTCTTGGGATCAAGCAGTCCTCCTTACTCAGCCTCCCAATGTACTGGTATTATAGGCATGAGCCACCCTGTCCAGTCTAATTAGGGATCTTAATCACATCATTCCCATATAGCATAAGCAAATCATGTGAATAAAATCCCAGAACATCTGCAAGTTCTTCTCACACTCAAAGGGAGAAGGTTATGCAAGAAGTGTCCACCAAGAGATGGGAATCTTGGAACCAATTTAGAATTCTGTCTACTACAGCATTCCTAACAAATAATGTTTACTGATTCCTAGTTTGTACTTTCATACATAATTCTCAGGTGTAGAATATTAGTCCTGGCAGGGATTTTGGAGATTGTTAGCTTGCTGTTCTGGCTCCTTGCTTGCATTTCCTTGTTTCTTTAGCATTTCTTTTTATTTAATAAGTTTTTAGAATAATACACGTAAAACACGGCCCCAGTGATTTCACGTTTGTGTTCTCATTTATTAGAAATGGCTTGGCTGTAGAAACTACTATCAGTGTGAACAGGCAACCTACAGAATGGGAGAAAATTTTTACAATCTGCCCATCTGACAAAGGGCTAATATCCAGAATCTACAAATAACTTAAACAAATTTACAAGAAAAAATCAAAGAACCCCATCAAAAAGTGGGCAAAGGATATGAACAGACTCTTCTCAATAGAAGACATTTATGCAGCCAACAGACACATGAAAAAATGCTCATCATCACTGGCCATCAGAGAAATGCAAATCAAAACCACAATGAGATACCATCTTACACCAGTGAGAATGGCAATTATTAAAAAGTCAGGAAACAACAGGTGCTGGAGAGGATATGCAGAAATAGGAACACTTTTACACTGTTGGTGGGACTGCAAACTAGTTCAACCATTGTGGAAGACAGTGTGGCGATTCCTCAAGGATCTGGAACTAGAAATACCATTTGACCCAGCCATCCCATTACTGGGTATATACACAAAGGATTATAAATCATGGTGCTGTAAAGACACATGCACATGTATATTTATTGCGGCACTATTCACAACAGCAAAGACTTGGAACCAGCCCAAATGTCCAACAATGATAGACTGGATTAAGAAAATGTGGCACATATACACCATGGAATACTATGCAGCCATAAAACAGGAAGAGTTCATGTCCTTTGTAGGGACATCATTGAAGCTGGCAACCATCATTCTGAACAAACTATCACAAGGACAGAATACCAAACACCACATGTTCTCACTCATAGGTGGGAATTGAACAATGAGAACACTTGGACACAGGATGGGGAACATCACACACCGGGTCCTGTCATGGGGTTGCGGGAGTGGGGAGGGATAGCATTAGCAGATATACCTAATGTAAATGATGAGTTAATGGGTGCAGCACACCAACATGGCACATGTATACATATGTAGCAAACCTGCACGTTGTGCACATGTACCCTAGAACTTAATGTATAAAAAAAAAAGAGAGAAATGGCTTGGCTTTCCTTCGGTTTCACTTCAGAACAGCAATACCTAGAGTAAAACATGAGTTATATATTTTATGAATGGTATTAAATAGAGTAAGGTAATATGTTTTAGAGTTCTGATAACATATGTACTTGTTTGATTGCATTTTAGAAAATTAGTAGAAGAAAACAATTCTTCATTTCTAGGACTAAAAATATTTATCTGAGATAATTGAATGATGGGGGTGATTTCCCCCATACTTTTCTCATAGTAGGGAATAAGTCTCACCAGACATGATGGTTTTATAAATAAGAGTTGTTCTTCATAAGCTTTTTTGCCTGCCACCGTGTAATAACACACGATTTTGCTCCTCATTCGCCTTCTGCCATGATTGTGAGGCCTCCCCAGTCATGCAAAACTGTGAGTCCATGAAACCTCTTTTTCTTTATAAATTAACCAGTCTAGGGTATGTCTTTATTAACAGCATGAGAACAGACTAATACACAATATATGATTGAGAAGTGCTAAATGTATACATTTTGAGAACTGAGAGAATTTGCAGTAAAGAAATGATACTTAAATTACAGTAGAACGTAGAAGGAATTCCCCATAGTTTTCGAAAAGGGCAAAAGGGAATAAAAATATTAAGGGAAGAAACAGTAAAAGATACTTTATGTGAGTTGAAATTTTAACTCAGAATATTTGGCATGAAGTTATTTTGCTTGTAGATAACATGATATTGTCATCAATTATATGCGTATATCGAAACCATGGACCATCAAGGAGGTACTTCTATCAAAAATAACTTCAACATGCAAACAGTCAAATATTTGCTTTGGTCTGTCATTTTTCTGGTCTGTTGGCTCTCTGGCTATGAAAACGTGTCTGTCTAGTTGGTTTTTTGAGGTGTAATCTAGCTCCAAAACTTCCAGTTGAGTTTTATTTTCACTGTTCCAACCCACCACCGCTTTATGTAGACGCAGACTTTTTTTTTGTTGTTGTTGTTGGCAAACAGTTTGAGAATAACATGGAATAAGCCCTTTGCTATATCTTAGAGAATTTCCAAGCAAAGTTAAAATTATCTAATATAGTTAAATGGGAAGCATGATTAAACTTTGAGTAATCTTTTCTTTATAAAAAGACTAGATACAACAGCTCCAAGAAATATCTGTAATATTTCAAAAGAAAAACCTGAACTCTACAGCCGACTCTACGTACACACACTCAGAGAAATGAGCAGAATGAAGAACTAAGCAATTTGTGCTTAGTGCATAATTTATTTGATTAGTGTAATGAGCTGGTATGTAAAATTTAGAATAAAATTTTTGTGTTACAATAAGAAAACATAGAAAACAACTTCAGACCTTGAGGCTGGGGATAAGGCTGGCAGCTAAGATTACAAGCTAAGCTATAAACTTGGTCTCTTATTTGTATTTTGTTCCACTTCTAAATAATTGATAATTCGTGAATTATAATAGTTGTTCCTTTAGCTAGCTTTCTAGGGATATTCATCTAAATTGTGTACTCCCCCGCCCCGACACCACCATTATCTAGAAAGTACAGTTTCTTCTACTTCTTACTGAATTGTCTTCAGGGAGACTCCATTTCTGGAATTTATCTTTTGCCAACTATAGCCAAATATTTCATTACAGAATTGATTTTATTTTTTCCTCCATGGACACATCCCATAGATACTACCCACCCAGCATGACATCTGTTAAATTGTTCAATAAATCACTCTCTTACTCAGTTGCCTTGCCACCATTCAGGAGAAACCTGGGGTAATTGATCCTGATGCAGTCTCTCTAGAAGATCTATTTCACCAATCAACAGGGACTTTTCAACTGTCCCACTGAATTCTCCCAGCAGTTCCCAAATGATACATGGAATCATATGCTTTTCCAAGGGGAAAGAAATTTTTGAAAGTTTTAACTTCAGAAGAAAGAAATCTGTGACAAGTTGCTGTAGCCTCTTGTGTACTTTTCTCCAGGCTCTCTTGTACCACTTCAGTATCACTGATTTCCATGTGACTGCTTTCAGCAAGTTTTCATGATCCTTTGCTTATTGTAAATCAAGCATTGATGATCATCCAAGGCTTTATTAGGCCACGAACCGATTTCTATTGGATCTGGCTTTGTGAGCCTAGTCACAGGAGCAAGAACTTCATTTCATGGTTGTCTTAAAAATAATGTTAGGCACATCATCAGTCTTGTTTTTTTTTTTTTTAAGTTTTTTAATTTGAAAGCTAAATTGGTACCATTGACTTAGTGCCTGACCCTTGCATTTTTCAGTAAGTTCTTAAACAGTTGACAGCCAGATTTAAGATCAGAGGTATATTCTAAATGCTTACAAAGGAGTGGAAGAGAGTTGCCAAACTCTATCTCACGCAACATCTGCTCTAACACGTTGTTGGAAGACCGGAAATGCAATTGAGATATTAGAACCTCAAAAAAGGCTAATACTTATTATTGAAGAAGCATCAGTATGACAAGGCATTTATTCATCAAGGTTTCTCGTGTGCTTATTTTCATCTTAATTATGACACAAACCTAAACTTCTTAAGCGTTCTTAAAAAACCACCCCCATCAGCATGCTAAATGAGAGGCAAATCAAAGCAAGACCCTGGGGTTAAGAAAAGAATGTTCAAAGGCTTGTTAAGAATCTTCAATTGAACCATTAACATTATACTATTCTTTTAAAACAATTGGAGTAAAATAAAAATAATGAATCTGAAGCTTGAGCATTACATTTTCCTAACAAGATATAAATTTTTAAAATAAAAGGAAGATTTCTCTTAGATTTGAATGAATCTCAAATGTAGTATAGTTAATTTCATTTATGAGCTGAACATATCATATTGCTGGACTTTAGATATATTAATCTGAATTGGATAACTTTAACATTAAAATGTTATTAGCAGGTATCACTTTTGGGAATTAAGCCTTCTGGACCTTCCCAAACAGAAAACTCATTAAAGTGCATATTAAATTAATAATCTTATTGCGTTATGTAATTCCTGCAGCCATAGTTCAATAAATATTTAAGCCATCCTTAGCTTTAAGAGGGTTTTCTTTAATTGTAGTTTGTATATAATTAGAGCCATTTAAATTTTCTTTAATTTTTTTTTGTATATTTTACAAAGTAATAGAATGTACTTTGCCTTGAATGTAGTATATGTTTTGCTTATATGTTTAGGTTTCATATTATCAGTAATGCAGGAGTTAGAAACATACCTGGAAAATGCTGTAAAATTATGATTTGATCTCCAAAGGGTAGTTCTACATAATGAAGTAGATGCTGGGGCTGAGTTAATTTCTGGGAAAATGTATGCATAAGAAATACTCTTACTATACCAAGAAATATTCTAGCCTCTGTGTAAAGCTGTCAGGGAAGTCTTTGTGGTACACTTATAATTCGCAAACAAACAGATCTGCAAACAAACAGATCCTTGAACACAGACGCTTTTAGAGCAAACTACAGTCTAGGAAACAAATGTGATGCTAACTTTTTGTAAGACTAAGAATGGTTTTGACAGATGAGCATTTGTGATAGGTTTGATAGTAAGGAACTCTAACTTTGAACTCCAGTTAATTGAAATTTTATCTCCCTTATACATAAGTTCCATTCTTCTCATCAGTAGACTTCTATTAGCAAATTTTAAAAAGTTATCAATTTTTGTGATTGCATTTATTTTATTTTATTTTATTTTTTACTGATGCATAATAGATGGACATAGTTTGTGGGTATGTGTGAATAATTTAATACATTTGTATAATTTGTAAAGATAAAAATCAATGTCCTTGCGATATCCATCACCTTAAATATTTGTCCTGAATGTTTCTTTTATAGGTATTTTAAAATAAAAAAGAGAAGAACATTTTATTTATGTATTTATGTATTTATTTATGTATTTATTTATTTATTTATTTATTTATTTATTTATTCTGAGACAGTTTCCCTTCTGTTGCACAGGCTGGGGTACAGTGGCGCAATCTCAGCTCAATGCAACCTCCGACTCCTGGATTCAAGCATTTCTCCTGCCTCAGCCTCCCGAATAGCTGGGATTACAGGCTTCCACCAGCACGCCCGCCCAACTAATTTTGTATTTTTAGTAGAGGTGGGGTTTCACCATGTTGGTCTTGAGCCCCTGACCTTGTGATCTGCCCACCTAGGCCTCCCAAAGTGCTGGGATTTACAGATGTGAGCCATTGCGCCCAGCCAATATTTTTTATTTTTAAATTTAATTTAATTTTACATTCTGGGATACATGTGCAGAATGTGCAGGTTTGTTACACTGGTAAACATGTGTCATAGTGGTTTGCTGCACCTATCAACCCATCACCTAGATATTAAGCCCTGCATGTATTAACTATTTATCCTGATGCTCTCTCCCCCACAACCTCCAATGACAGATCCCAGTGTGTGTTGTTTCCTTCCCTGTGTCCATGTGTTTTCATTGTTCAGTTCCTACTTATAAGTGAGAACATGTGGTGTTTGGTTTTCTGTTCCTGTGTTAGTTTGCTGAGGATAATGGCTTCCAGCTCCATCCATGTACTTGCAAAGGACATGATCTTCTTTCCTTTTACGGCTGCGTAGTATCCCATGGTATTTATGTACCACATTTTCTTTATCCAGTCTATCATTGATGGACATTTGGGTGGATTCCATGTCTTTTCTTTTGTTATACATATATATATATATATATATATAAAACATCTGAATATATATATTCATATACATATATATTTGAATAAATATATATATGAGATTAATTAACTATGGTCACCTTACTGATCTATGTATGACTACATCTTATTTCTTCTATCAAACCATGCATTTATACCCATTAATCAACTTTTCTTTATCACCCCTTCCTCTTACCCTTCCTAGCCTCTGGTAACCACCAATCGACTCTCAATTATTGTGATAGCAGTTGGAATTTCATCAATACGTATTTGTGAAAATGGTTTTATCTTTTGTTTTAGAAGTACCTATATAGCCTTGATTTTGCCTCTTGATTCTCAATCTTAAAATGTTTACCATCTAGCCTTTTGCAGAAATAGTATGCCCACTTCTGTTTTAGAGCAACATGTGAATGTATACTAAAGGACCCCAGTCGGTTAAGAGCAACAACTTTGTATTCAAAGAAGTCTAAATGGAGTTCAGGAACTACCATTTCTGAAATCGACGATCTTGGACAAGTTACTTGCACTCACTAAGCTTTAATTAACTCATCTATAAAGATAAGTCATAGGATTACAATGGAGTTAACAATAATGGCACCTATTTCATAGGGTAACTTTAAATATTAAATTGCCAGGAGCATAGAAAGATACCAAAAATAATTATTTATGGTAGTAAAACAAATATTCAGATGTTTAAGCTGGTTTTATATGGAAAGTCAGCATTTGGCAATCCCGAAGCAAAGTCACAATCACAGAAGGCAAATCTATTCCAAATACTTCAAGTGAGAGTTTGAGGCATGTGCTCTTCCTTTATCAGAGTTTTGTTTATTTGTTTACTTTTTGTTTGTTTTTCCCTTGCTAATGATTAAGGGTTAGATTTAACAAGGCATTATGATCAATTACATTCTGTGATAAGTCACATGTTTGATATATGGATACCTACCAAGCAAGAGGCTTTCTGGAAAGGAGCCCCTCCCGCCCCAAACCTTTGGACCTGATCCAAGGTGTTTTTTTTTTCCAGAAGCTTGATGTCTTCACCTCTACAGACCTAGGAAGTACCAGACAAGTTTGCCCACTGAAGTTGTCCCCATGTCCAATTGCCCAATTGGAATGGATCCGAGTCCTTGACTGTATTAACTAACTTTCACATAAAAAGACTGAGATCCCCTTTCACCTGTATCTCCTGGACGGCCACCTCAACTTATCTCCTGTTGATCTCTGGTCTACATGAAAAAGGGAAGTAACTCTGCACCATTGCTTCATAGCCGACTTCTATGAAGCAAGAGGGATGCCAGGCTTTCCTTTAAAAAATGAAACCTGACACCATTAGCAAGTACCTGGTAAGGATTCTTTTCTAAACGGCCAGAGTACACCTTTGCCCAAGAAAGTCTCCTTAGAGGAGCGGTAGGGAGGAAATCCAGTGGCGATGCCTGGCATGGGAAGTGTCCAGCTGAGAAATGGAGGCTCCCAGAAATGGGCATCTTTTTTTTCTCTCTCTCTTTCTCAAAAAAGCCACAAGGAAGGTTAAGTGGCCCTCTCTTTTATGCAGTGTGACGTTATGTATCCGATAGCCCCAAGGAAGAATTTCAGAGGAGCACGTGCTTGGTCACAGAGTGAAACTTACATAAAACAAGTAATAAAATGGAGTATATTAAGTTATCAATGCTTTAACCTGATGATACTTTAGCATCTAGGAACACTGAATCTTAGCAATAGCAGTGAATACCGAAAGTTTCCATTTGCAATAGCATGACTTTTTGCATATGAAAAATAAAATGAACCAAACAGAATAAATTATCCAGAATATTTCCCATTGGTATTCCGTAACATCACAAGGTATTGTATCTTCTTTAATGTAAAGAAGATTGAAGATGTGGTTGATATGCTTTATGGTGGCTGTATTTTCCCAAGATGAATAACTTGCTTTTTATGAACATTTCAAAAACAGATGAGAGATCTATTTGCATACCTCATTAATGATCCCTTTTTTTAAGTAGGAACATGTTTTCAATTTTATATATCCATAAACATCTCTTTTCATTATGTGAATGAAAAATAATATGTCATCTGCCAGAATTTATTCTTGGCTACCAGTGTTTGAAAAATCTAAATTATGCTAAAGATTTCAACATTTGAAATGAATGAATTACAATAGTGATATTACTCATAATGTGTTGATAGCATATTAGGCTCTTACTTTCTTGCTTTGGTTCTTCTATTTTCATTTCACTTGGCCACCATCCCCTTTCTGTTTTGCTGTTATTTATGCTTTCTAATCTGAAAATGACAGAAATATGATGCTAAGGAAGAATGTTTAATTTTTAGACATTTGATAAAACAGTATTTTCTTTAAAAAATGTATTTGTTATTACAGACAAAGATTTCTCTTAGAGGTGTTTTTTTTCTTTTTCTTTCTTTCTTTTTTTTTTTAATTAATTAATTAATTTTTTTTTTTTTGAGATGGAGTCTCACTGTTACCCAGGCTGGAGTGCAGTGGCATGATCTTGGCTCACCGCAACCTCCTCCTCCCAGGTTCAAGCAATTCTCATGCCTCAGCCTCCTGAGTAGTTGGGATTACAGGTGCGTGCCAACACACCTCTCTATATTTTTGTATATTTTTGTATTTTTATTAGAGACAGGGTTTCACCATGTTGGTCAGGCTAGTCTCAAACTCCTGACCTCACACGATCTGCCTGCCTCAGCCTCCCAAAGTGCTGGGATTACAGGCATGAGCCATTGTGCCTGGCCTAGAGGGCTTCTTTTTCTTATTCTTACTCTTCCTGTTTATGATATAACATGTCACAACTGAGAAAAAACAAATAAACTATTTTTTATGTCTAAGGCACATTCTTCAGCCCACCCACTGCTCCTCAGAATGATAGAACACTAACTACGAATGTTAGTAAACTTAGGTAAAATGTAATTATTTGTGTTCAAAATAACCCTAATATAAATTTCCTGGAGGGAATTGCATGCATGACTTCACTTTTCTCCATTCATTCTAAAGATATTTATTGAGTGTCTGCTATGCATTAGAAACTGTACAAGGCACATAAGTTACCAAAATGAATCAACCAGCTCAGTTCTCATAAATTCAAATGAGATAAATTAAATAATTAGAGGAAGAGTCATATATTATAAAAGTATACACATTAGACCTTGAGAGGACATAAGAGGACAGTGGATTTTATGATCAAGGAAGGCTTCTCAGAAGAGGTGATATATGAACTGAGCTTCCAACAATAAATAGGAGTTAGCCGGGAGAAAAGAGGAATGTCGTTCCTTAAGCAGCATATGTGAAAATTTGGATAGCCAGACTGCTTTTAGGACTTTATATACTAAGTAATAAGAGAGAAGCCTGAAAGCGTAGGTTGGAAACTAGAGAGTTTGTATTCATGTGGAATTAAGAACTTTGAAGAAGTTTAAGAGGGAAATAACTATAGGGAAAAATGAAATTTTCATTTTCTTAGATAAGTGCCATGCAGATAAAACCTTTCCCATGTGTAAGCCCAGACGTTGGCTTGTCTTTCACCTTTTTGTGGAAGTTTCTTTTCCCCACACACAGTAGTTTTCAATTTTAAGATAAACATATTTGTGAGAACTTTTATTTTTGGCTTATTTACATCCTTAATATTTTATTTTATGAAATCTGGATATGATTATAGAATTTAATATGTACAAGCTCCTACTTCAGTTCCCTTGTAAAATAAAGATACTTGGGCATAGAGAGTTAAGTGACTTGGTTCTTTGATTGCCTTTTTAGTGGTTAAACAGCACTAGAAGCCAGAATTTTTCATGTTCTTAGGTAAGTGTTCAGTGCAATTGAACACAGGGACCTTTTCCTGGACTACTTTTCCACTTCCAAGATCACAGTGAATATTCTAATAAGGTATTTAAACAAACAATCACAGTTGTAAACATACAAGTCCAAATTGGAATGATTTTAGGTATTAGTTTGTTAAACATGCAGTCTGTGCCAAAAAGCACACTAATTGTTCAGCTGCTCAGAAAGAACCTGTCAAATCATTAGAGGTGGTCATCAGTCAGATGATATCTCTTTTCCAAGTGGCAGCTGTTCCTGTCTGGAGTGTAGAAAATCACCATGAAAGTATGCTGTGGATTAACCATCTCATCTGCCTGTGCTATTAGAAGAAACTTGGGAATTTTCTTTATAAATCTGTCGTTTTTCTTACAGATTTCTCTCAGTAGCTACACCTTTTTAATCATTATAAATTTCAACAGACATTTTCTATCAAAAAACATAGTATCATTGAAGGAATGGAAACTGTATCTAATTCTAATACACAAAAATATTTACATCTGTATTTATTTACTAGCAATTCGTGAAGTGGAATATCAGGCTAATTCTGAAACATTCTGCTGAAAGTTTATCCAAATAGAGAAAGTATTATATTACTTTTGAAGAGTCAGAAAAAAATATTATAATGCTAGACCACTTAGCTTATTAGAGGAGGATAAATCCAAACAATAAATTATATCATCAATCTTAACTGGAGAAATGTAGTGACACTGAGGGGAAGGGGAGTGAAATTCCTTTTCATTTATTCATCTTTTCAAAATTTCTCACTCCCACCTAGCCTCATTTTCTTTTCCCTTCCCTCCCTTCCTTTCTGATATGGTTTGGCTCTGTGTCCCCACCCAAATCTCATCTTGTAGCTCCTATAATTCCCACGTGTGTCGGGGAGGGATCCAGTGGGAGATTATTGAATCATGGGGGCGGGTCTTTCCCGTGCAGTTCCTGTGATAGTGAATGGGTTTCGTGAGATCTAATGGTTTTAAAAAATGGGAGTTTCTCTGCGCAAGCTCTCTCTTTGCTGCTATCCATGTAAGACATGACTTCCTTGCCTTCCACCATAGTTATGAGGCTTCTCCAGCCACATGGAACTGGAAGTCTAATTAAACCTGTCTTTTGTAAATTGCCCAGTCTTGGGTATGTCTTTATCAACAGTGTGAAAACAGACTAATACACCTTTCCTCTTTTCCCCTCCCCTCTCCTCCCCTGTCTTTTGCTTCTTCCCTTCCCTTGTCTTTTTTTTTTTTTTTACATTAGACTTCTTTTGAAAACTGCAATAAGGAATTGCTGTTCCATCTAGCCCCAGCTCTCCATTACTGTTTCCTTTCTCTCACTCCCCACCTCAGGATCCTGAAGTTGATGTGTATCTTTGTCATTCACTTCTCGTGTGATTTTTGTGAGATATGCATATGCCCAAGACAGCATACGTGTGCACTTTTCCAAAGCAAATTTATTATTGTTTATGTATGTTTTATGTTCATAAATGGTGTGATGCTGTTTTGTTCTGTATTTTCTCTTTAACTCAGCATTATGTGTTTTAGATTTATTATTAATGCAGATTTTGTTCATTTATGTTTGTGTATGTGTGTATTTATATATGCATTTATATATTTCTGTATCCAATGACTATCTACTATCTTGTGCACACATGATAGTTTCTACTTGGGGACAACCTAGCCAGAGCTAGCTCATGAGGCATTTTTATGAGAAATGATAGGTACCCATATTGGGTATATAAAACCCCATATCAGTGTACATGACTTGATGGACACAGAAAAAAATGAGTTGGGCCCCTCACTTACTCCTTGCCTAAGCCCTCTTTTCCAGGACACACTTTGATGGCACCAATACATCCTAGAATTAGAATCACTGGATCCTTGGGGATATATGACTATAACTTTACTTGGTATTAGCAAATTTCTCTCCAGCATGTTTGTATCAGTTATCAACTTCTCAGTAGAGTTTAACAACTTGCAATTTCCCACATCCTTTCCAAACCTGTGTATTGTTAGATATTTTCTATTTGTTTCTCTATTTGATGGATGTGAAGAGGTACATTATAGTTTCCATAATATAATCAGTTCTAAGACATTTATAAAGGTCGGACTTTTTCCATGATGCCCAGACTTTGGCTTGCCTTTCACCTTTTTATCAGAGTTTCCCCCCTACACACAGTTTTCAGTTTTAATTTTAAGACATATTTGCAAGAGCTGTTATCTACAACTTATATTTATTATACATCTTAAGCTTAATCATGTGATGGCTGGAGAATGTGACAATTCTGGGAATCTGCATAGGAGTGGTAGCTACCTACGAGTTACTGTCCCATGTTAGACACCACATTCTACTCTAGTCTCTCAAACTGCATTAGTACATAAGGCTTTAAAATGATATCAATGCCTGTGGTTGTCATTTTTGGTTCAAGACAATTGCATCAATAGTGATAAAATATCGAGCTAGATACTTGGGGAAAAATAAAACATTCCAAAGCCAAGTTAAGTAAACAGATGAATAAAAGATTTAATGGTAAAATCATTTTACCATTTAACAGTAATAAAACCCATTATGAAGATGCTGAAGGAAGATATAGGTGAATATTTTTGTAATCTTTGGGGTTCAAAAATGTTTATTAAATTTTAATGTAACTGGCCAGGCACAGTGGTTCATGCCTATAATTCTAGCACTTTGTGAGGGCAAGGCACCTGGATCACCTGAGTCTGGGAGTTCAAGACCAGCCTGGACAACATGGTGAAACCCCATCTCTACTAAAAATACAAAAATTAGCCAGGCGTGATGGCAAGTGCCTGTAATCCTGTTACTTGGGAGGCTGAGGCAGGAGAATTGCTTGTACCCGGGAGGTGCAGGTTGCAGTGAGCCCAGATTGTGCCACTGCACTCCAGACTTAGTGAAAGAGCGAGGCTCTATCTCAAAAAAAAAAAAAAAAAAAAAAAAAGAAAGAAAAAAACCCAAAAAACAAAAAATTTTATGTAACTTGCAGGTCATAAATAAATCGTGATTACATTTGAATACCTAAGGGAAACATTTCGTGTGGCAAAGCACTGTAAGATATGAATACAACAATGAAAGTAAAGAGAAATCTAAGAAAAAGATAAGACATGTCTTTGAAACAAATGTGGCACACAAAGCATTTCTATTTTCATTAAATAAAAAATTTAGAAACCACAAGAAAATAATTACATATTAATAGAAATGTTAATAATGCATACAAACAAGTTACTATTAAAGAGCTGTTAATACTCAAATAACTGGTCTTCTAGTAATTGCGAATAAAAACTGAGGTGTTAATATTATGCCTACTAGATTGGATAAAAATCAGGATTTATCAGATTAAACAAGATTAGTTATTTAAAATATGATAGTTAAAAAGGTAGTTTTATAAAGCTTGAAATACAACTTATATGGTAAACATTCAATTGGTGATACTTATGCAATTATAGCACTGCTTGGGGATATGGAGAAAACAGCACTCATATATTCACTGAGGAGGTTTAAATTAGTATAGTCGGTGTTTCAAAAATATACTCTGACTGCAGTATATAATTGTTTGGTAAAATTAAGTGTAAGGTTAAATGTATTAAAAACTTTCATCAAATCAGTGTTTATACCAGCCGCAAATTGGAAAGAGCTTAAATAATCACATTAGAGAATTTGATTACATTAATTGTTGTGTATCAAGATAAGCAAACACTATGATCCCTTACAAATCACACATTTGTAAGTGGGAAACACTGCTAACAAGGGTTTAGACTGTACCATAATTTTTTTTTTTTTTTTTGAAACACGGTCTCAATCTGTCATCCAGTCTGGAGTGCAGTGGCGCAATCTTAGATCACTGCAACCTCAACCTCCTGGGATGAAGTGATTCTCATGCTTCAGCCTCCCAAGTAGCTGGGACTGCAGGCACACACCATCAAGCCCCACTGATTTTTGTATTTTTAGTAGAGAGGGGTTTTCGCCATGTTGGCCAGGCTGGTCTCGAGCTCCTGACCTCAAGCGATCCGCCTGCCTTGGCTTCCCAAAGTGCTGGGATTACAGGTGTGAGCCACCCCATCAGGGCTGTAATGTAATATTTGTGAGATAATGTATTATATTTCATAACTATTTAAATATATTAATATTACTAGTTTATATTATACAGTTTATAATAGATGAACTATGTATGTATATTTAAATAAGTTAATACATATGTGTATGTGCATATGTACATACATAATCTTTTCCATTGAGCAAGCTTGACCTAGTAAAATTCATAAAGAAAGCTGCTTTGTTTTTCTCAGACCAGTGCTTCAATCACAGTCTATCAGATCCTCATTGGCTTTGGATGATATTTTTGACAAATCCCATATGCATCAGTCTGGGTCACATCAGGAAACAGATGGCGCAGTCAGCATTGAAATATAAAGGAGTTTAATAAGGTGGTGTTTACAGAGATAATGGTAAGATCAAGGAAACTGAGAAGAAATCCTGAAGCACCCAGGGACTCCCGACAGTGGGAGCTAATGCGCTGTAGCCCTGCAGAGGTAGGGTTAGAGAGCTGAAACTGTAGCTGGGGGACCCCACAGGGATGGTCCCCATGGGTAAGAAACACAGGCACTAGCCAGCTATACCCGTGGTATAAGTTTAGGTGAAATAAATACCTTGACTGTCCTTTCCTCCCTGTCTCTACTGCTCTGCTGCTACCTCATTGGCTGGGTATAATCAGAAGCTGAAGACATGGGAGCCCAGGTCATGCAGTGTGTGGAGTTCACTCTTCTGGGCAAGGAGCAGGAAGAAAAGTGCAAAAAATGCATTAGATGTGCAAACGGAGTGACCGGTACAGTACAGCTTCTTGGTGAATTTTAGGCCTTCAGTTATCTCATTTTCAAGTTTCAACGTTCAGCCAAGTTTATACAAAAATGTGAATCTCACATTTAGCTTAAAATGACTCCCTTTCCACCCCACGGCATTCAGGCCGCCCTGAACTCCGTATTGTACAGCCTTTTTCTCTCCTCCCCTGCCCATCGTTTTGCCTGTGGCTTCTCCAGGACAGAGGCAGGTCTTGTGGGATGTGAATGAGAGTTAAGAGGACATTGACCTTTATACTCAGTTAGTGTTGTTTCTTGCTCTAGAGCAACTGAAAAATACTTCTCATCACGGCAAGCATCCAGAATGATCAATCATTTATGGGCTACTTAGTAGGATAGTTACGGACCATCACCTGGTAAACCATATCCTTGACATGATCCATGCCCTCTTCTCCTGCTGTTTGGAGACATCTTTCAGCTTCTGTCCTTTGGTGATGTCAGGATATTAGTGTCTGCATAGGTCACCTGTCTGAGTTACCTTTCCACTAATTTATAGCTTTGTATGTTGTAGAAAACGGGTAGGAAAGCATGTGATTCATTTCTACAGTAATGGAAATTGTGTCTGGTAGAATGCAATTGATTATTGCTCTATGGATTCTTGCCAGCTTTGCATTTGCGTAATAGATGCAAAACTGGCAAGAATCCATTTTTTCATAAAGAGGACAACAGAAATACTGCAGTACTGTTCATATTATACCTTAGACATTCTACAGTATAATTTGCATCTATTACGCAAATTATAATTTCAACGTTCCTGGTGGGCTTTTATATTTGTCTGTCCTTTGGATTCCTTTCATGACCTTTTACTGATTCTATCATGAGCAAATGAGATAAAAACTTTGATTATGTGTTTGTTTTGTAAGAGAGTCATGATGTCATCTTTTTTTTGTTTTTCTTTAAATGCTGTTTAACAGTATAGCATAACTCTTGACTTCTAGTATCTACTTGTTCCAGCAGGTAGGGTTCTTCCTGGATGACTTAGCCATATCTGACTGCTTTCTTCTGGTCGATGGGAATTCATGAGCCCTTGGCCCACTTTGCTACCACTCCTATACTCTTGTCTCATTCCTCTGTTCAGTATAGCTCCAGACAGGCTTGGGTCAAGGAGGAAGCTTTATTTAGTTTGAAGGCACACTCAATTTCTCAAGCCCTATGTTTTGTTTTTCATTTGGAGCCTTTTTGCTTGGCTTAAAAGGAGATTAGGAGAATAACTATTCTCCCTTTTTTTCATAAAGAGGACAACAGAAATACTGCAGTACTGTTCATATTATACCTTAGACATTCTACAGTCATCTCCATCTTAGACCCCTGATTCAATTGTTTCATCTTCCCTTTCATTTTCAGAGCCAGTTAGCTGTTGTTGTGGATTGAATTTCCTGGAAAGCAGGCTCTGAGATGAAGAGTAGTATGCTAACTGATTGGAATTGCTTTTAACTTAAGTGATGAAGTGAAGAAAGCAGGATTTGGGAAAGAGAGAGGTCTAGCTGTGATACAGTGTCTGTAAAGGCCTTAACAGCTCTTGTGGAAAGCTCTGAGGCTGGGAAGGCCTTTTAGAGTTTTCCTAATTTGATTAAAGAAGGCTGGTCCTTTTAAGTTCTTTATCATTCAGTTAATGGATGTACACCGCCCCTTGGAAGGGGCGGTGTGACATTGGAAGTGGTAGCTCTCTTTAGCTAAGAACAAGTTGTGTGGGAGGCACTCTAGCTGCTAAAAGTCAGAAGTTGGGAAAATGAGTGTTTTGTCGTCGAGTGGGTAGGCCCACGAATGACAATACAGCTATCTTTTATCATGTATACCATTATAGAACATTTTGATGTATTTTTTATTTTTTTAACTTTTTTTTTTTTAGGTTCAGGGGGACATGTGCAGGTTTTTTATGTATGCAAATTCATGTCCTTGGGATTTGTCGTACAGATTATTTCATCACCGAGTAGTAAGCCTAGCACCCAATAGTTTTTTATTTTTTTAATCGTCTCCCTCCTCCCAACCTCCACCCTCAAATAGGCCACGGTGTGTCTGTTGTTACCTCTTTGTGTCCTTGTGTTTTCAACATTTAGCTCCCATTTATAAGTGAGAAGAAGCAGTATTCGGTTTTCTATTCCTGTGTTAGTTTGCAAAGGATAATGGCCTGCAGCTACATCCATGTTTCCACAAAGGACATGATCTCGTTCCTTTTTATGGCTGCATAGTATTCCATGGTGTATATATACCACATTTTCTTTATGCAATCTGTCATTGATGGGCATTTAGGTTGATTCCACGTATTTGCAATTTTGAGTAGTGCTGCAATGAACATACACATACATGCATCTTTATGGTAGAATGACTTATATTCTTTTGGGTATATAGCCAGTAGCAAGACTGCTGGGTGGAATGGTAGTTCTGTTTTTAGGTCTTTGAGAAATTGTCAGACTGTTTTTCACAATGGTTGGACTAATTTATTATCCAAACAATGGTATATAAGCATTGCCTTTTCTGTGCAACCTTGCCAGCATCTGTTATGCTTTGACTTGTTAATGATAGACATTCTGACTGGTGTAAGATGGTATCTCATTGTAGTTTTGTTTTGCATTTCACTAATGATAAGTGATATTGATATTTCTTCCATATGCATTGTTGGCTACATGTATGTCTTCTTTTGAAAAGTGTCTACTCATGTTCTTTGCCCACTTTTTAATGGGGTTGTTTGTTTGTTTTCATATAAATTTGTTTAAGTTCCTTATAGATGGCAGGATATTAGACCATTGTCAGAGGCATAGTTTGCAAATGTTTTCTCCCATTCTGTGGATTGTCTGTTTACTCTGCTGATAGTATCTTTTACTGTGCAGAAGCTCTTAAGTTTAATTAGAACCCATCTATCAATTTGCTTTTGTTGTAATTGCTTTCGGCGTATTTGCCATGAAATCTTTGCCAGTTTCTGTGTCCAGAATGGTATTGCCTAGGCTGTCTTCCAAAGTTTTTATAGTTTGGGGTTTCACAGTTATGTCTTTAATCCATCTTGAGTTGATTTTTTTATATGGTGTAAGGAAGGGGCCCAGTTTCAATCTTCTGCATATGGCTAGTCAGTTACCCCAGCATCATTTATTGAATGGGGAGTGTTTTCTTCATTGCTTGTTTTTGTCAGCTGTGCCGAAGATCAGATGACTATAAGCGTGTGGCCGTTTCTGGGCTTTCTATTCTATTTCATTGGTCTATTCTTCTGTTTTTGTACTAGTAACATACTGTTTTGGTTACTGTAGCCCTGTAGTATAGTTTGAAGTCAGGTGATGTGATGTCTCCAGTTTTGCTAGGATTGCTTTGGCTATTCGGGCTCTTTTTTGTTTGTTTGTTTGTTTCCATATGAATTTCAAAATAGTTTTTTCTAGTTCTGTGAAGAGTGTCATTGATAGCTGGATAGGAACAGCATTGAATCTACAAATTGCACTAAACAGTGTGACCATTTTAATGATATTGATTCTTCCTATACATGAGCATGGAATGCTTTTCCAATTGTTTGTGTTACCTCTGAATTATTTGCAGATACATTCACAGCTGAATTCTACCAGATGTACAAAGAGCAGCTGGTACCATTCCTACTGAAACTATTCCAGGAAATGGAGGGGGAGAGACTCTTCTCTACCTCATTCTATGAGGCCAGCATAATCCTGATACCAAAACCTGGCAGATAGAACAAAAACAGAAAACCTCAGGCCAATATCCTTAATAAACACGAATGCAAAAAATCATCAACGAAATACTAGCAAACCAAAGCCAGCAGCACTTCAAAAAGCTAATCCACTATGATCAAGTAGACTTCATCCCCACGATGTAAGTTTGGCTCACAACATGCAAATTAATAAGTGTGATTCATCACGTAAATAGAACTGAGGACAAAAGCCACATGATTACCTCAATAGTTACAGAAAGGGATTTCAATAAAATTCAACAACCATTCAGGTTAAAAACTCTCAATAAACTAGATATTGAAGGAACCTACCTCAAAATAATAAGAGCCATCTATGATAAACCGACAGTCAACATCATACTGAATGGGCAAAAGCTCTGTCCCTTGAAAAATGACACAAAATAAGGATGTCCTCTCTCACCACTCCTATTTAACATAGTATTGATAGTCCTGGCCGAGCAATCAGGCAAGAGAAAGAAATAAAGGGCATCCACATAGGAAGACAGGAAATCAAATTATCCGTGTTTGCAGATGACATGATCCTACATCTAGAAAACCCCATATTCTTGGCCGAAAAGCTCCTTAAGTTGATAAACAACTTCAACAAAGTCTCAGGATATGAAATCAATGTGCAAAAATCACTAAGAGTCCTATACGCCAAGCCAAGAGTCAAATAAGGAATAAACTTTCATTCACAGTTGACACAAAAAGAAAAAATATGTAGGAGTACAGCTAACTAAGGAGGTGAAAGGTCTCTGCAAGGAGAATTACAAACCATTGCTCAAAGAATTCTATTTTAAATTTAATAAGAATTATAAATAAATTTTATTCTTAAACCTAAAATTTAAAAATAACATTGCAATTTGGTATCTGCTATTGTTGTTAATCTTAGGATTTTTTTCTATACTACAAAATTACTCATTCAAAGTAATATATGTGTGAGAATATAGGCTATTAGAACATTTATTTATTAGCTCATTCAGTTGATATGTACTATGCTATAGGTACTTGACTAGACTGGGGATGTAGAGATGAAGACACACAACTTTCCCTATAATATGGTGAAGTAGAGTGCCAAGAACAGACATTTAAACCAAATATGGGGTAAACACCATAACACACTCTTTGTTCTGCCCTGATTAGCCTGGGCCTTTTGTGGTGCAAGTGGCTTCTGTTGTGTAGGTAGAGGCAGTCTAAAGCTCCTTGGCTCTTGAGCAAGAATGTTAGGGTTTGAATCTTCCCTGCTGCTTTCAGATGTGTAATATTGGGTAAGTTTCATAATTCCTCTTATCTCCTCATGTATAAAATGTGGGTAATATACCCTTGTAAAAATAATGATATTGAACTTAAGGAGTTTAACACAATTCATAAATTAGGTTAAGAACTCATAACAAGCTGACATTAATAGCAATTATTATTGCTAAACTCTAGCTTTCTTTTTCTCTGCTATCTTACATTTAATCTGTTAATGTGCCTCCTTCTGTCTCTACTTAATGCTAGTGTTGTAAAAAAATTTCTTATGAATTTTAAAATACTTTTTCTAATTCTCTGAAGAATGTCATTGACAGATTGATAGGAATAACATTTAATCTATAAATTGCTAGGGGCAGTATGGCCATTTTAATGATATTGATTTTTCCTATCCATAAGAATAGGATGTTTTTTCATTTGTGTCATCTGATTTTTTTTCAGCAGTGTTTTGTAGTTCTCATTATACAGATCTCTCACCTCCCAGGTGAGTTGTATTCTTAGGTATTTTATTCTTTTTGTGGCAGTTGTGAATGGGATTCCATTCCTGTTTTGGCTCTTGGCTTGACTGTTGTTGTTGTATAGTAATGCTGAAAATTTTTGTACATTGATGTTTTTCTCTTGAAACTTTGCTGAAGTTGTTTATCAGTTTAAAGAGCTTTTGGGCCAAGACTATCTGATTTTCTAGACATAGAATCATGTAATCTGCAAACAGGGAGAGTTTGACTTCCTCTCTTCCTATTTGATGCACTTTATTTCATTCTCTTGCGTCATTGCTCTGGCCAGGACTTTCAATACTCTGTTTAATGTGAATGGTGAGAGAGAACATGCTTATCTTTTGCTGGTTTTCAGGGAAAATGCTTCCAGGTTTTGCCCATTCAGTATGATGTTGGCTGTATGTTTGTCATACATGGCTCTTAATATTTTGAGGTGTGTTCCTTCCATACCTAGTTTATTGTGAGTTTTTAACATGAAAATATGTTGAATTTAATCAGTAGCCTTCTATGCATCTATTGTAATAATCCTGTGATTTTTGTATTTAGTTTTGTTTATGTGATGAATTACATTTATTGATTTGCGTTTCTTGAACCAA
The DNA here is from genome assembly GCF_000001405.40 of Homo sapiens. Lineage (NCBI taxonomy): Eukaryota > Metazoa > Chordata > Mammalia > Primates > Hominidae > Homo > Homo sapiens. Next base: position 14,065,028 of record NC_000008.11, read on the forward strand.
CCTTGCATCCTGGGGATACAGCCTACTTGATCATGGTGGATTAGCTTTTTGATGTGCTGCTGTATGTCATTCGCAAGTATTTTGTTGAGAACATTTTCATTAATGTTCACCAAGGATATTGGCCTGAATTTTTTTTGTTGTTATTGTTGTGTCTGTGACAGGTTTTGGTATCAGGATGATGATGGCCTTATAGAATGAACTGGGGAGGAGCCCCCCTCTTTAATTTTTTGGAATAGTTTCCATAGGAATCATGCCATCTCTTCTTTGTACACGTGATGGAATTCAGCTGTAAATTCATCTGGGCCTGGGTTTTTCTTCAGTTGGTAGGCTATTTATTACTGATTCAGTTTCAGAGCTTGTTACTGGTTTGTTCAGGGAATGAATTTCTTCCTGGTTAAGTCTTAGGAGGATGTATATGTTTAGAAATGTATTCATCTTTTCCAGATTTTCTAATTTGTTTGGATAGAGGTTTTCATAGTAGTCTCTGATGGTTATTTGTATTTCCGTTGGGTCAGTGATAACATCCCTGTTGTTGTTTCTAGTTCGAACACTTTGATTTAAATGTGGAGGCACTTAGCCTATGCTCTAATCATCATTCCACTTTAACAAGAATTTTAATAGTCCCTGTTTTATGAAGTACATATATACATACTTGTGTATGTGTACAATAATCTTTCAATGCATATAAAATATATGAAAAGATAGTAATTAAAATACTAAAAGTTGGAACCTCTAGGTGAAAAGATTTTAGGATTTTTTCATTTTTTACATATTAAATATTTTGAATTTCCTAAATTAAAAATTCAGGAAGTAAAGTTCTGAATTAAAAACAAGTGAGCAAATAGCAACGACAACAAAAAAAACAGCATCTCATTTAGTTCATGATAGAATTTATTAAAGATGATTTGGCAACCCTTGGCTTTCAGAATGAAGACTTCACCACTACCACGCCTGGGCAAAGATACCAAAAGTTACATTGCTGACGCTGGGCATAGGATACTATGACTACTGCCAAAGTTTTGATGACTGTATGATCACATTTGCCCAAAAACGAATTCCATGTGGACACTCACTTACCAATCAGTTTTGTATGGGTGTATCTAATCCACAAGGTCTGTGTCACCTTCAGGAATTATAAATTAGGGAAATCTCCAAAATAGAAAATGTATTAGAAAGATGTTGAGTAGACAGAAAACATGGCAATTGACCATTACCATGTATAGCCCTAATATAAATAGAAAAAAATAAAGTTTTATTTATTTGACAAATTTCTTGACTTCTGACCTCCTTTGCACAAACCTATTGTTTATGCTTTGAAAGTAATTTTTAAAAATAAAGTTGGAATACGAATTACCTAGTTGAACTATGAATCAGCTAGTAAAACTAGCTTGTGTTCACAGTGTTGCTGCTTCTTCTAAGGTGTACTTTTCCTTATTTGTAAAATAGAAGCAATGATACCTGTTTTGCCGGCTTATTGTTTGTATCCTACAAAATTATTTTTAAATGGTTAACTTGTAGTAGACATTATGTAAACAGTAATTGAGTATTGTTAATATTACTGGTATCATTCTTGTCATTGTTGTATTAACATGAATAGAGCAGGGGTCACAAGATTTTTAGGCTGATTATTTCTCCTGAGATTTTTGGTAATTTATGCCATTTTTTTAAGGAAAATAAATAATATTGACAATTTTTCTATTGGCTAGAAAAATTGTGGCTATTCCCAATATAAATAGAAAAAAAAAGTAAATGTAAGTTGTCCTGTCAGACCCTGTGCATACAGAATATATACCACTTTTCTCATGAGCCACACTGTTCTTTAGCTTCTTGGGAAATGTATGATATTATATATTTTTCTTGTCACTGGTTTTCCTCTTCTTTGTTCATGATATATTTACTTGTAGTTATTGCTGCAATAATCGTGAACATTCTTTTTTCTGAACAAGGGAAACTCAGTAATGAAGCTCTTGGTTTGTAGTTAGAAAGAGGATAATACTGTGGTATAAATTTATAGGTGAATTAAATATTTATTTCATTCTTAGAAATAAAATTTCTAAAGATCACTTGACCATGAAAATATTCTAGGGCAGCTTTCTGGTACAGAGCATTCTTCTATTTATTATTTTAATTAAAGATGTCTTACTGTATTTCACTCAGAAGTCTGTCTTCATCAGTTAGTTTTATAGTAAAGATGACATATTTGAGATGTATCTTTACTTGAAATATTTTTGTATAATTTATGTAAATTATATTTGGCAGTAGCTAAGATAAACAAAAAGGGACTTTAAACATCAAGAATTATATCTAATTTTCAAAAATGATAACATATAACATAATGCAATATAACTATGTGATTTTTTTTCTCTTTTAACTACACTGTAAACTTCAGGAAGACAGGTGTCACTTTTCTTTCCATTCTACCCTAGTCTAGCACAAGAAAAAGTATAATAGCTAACTTTAAAAAATGTTTTGGAATCCAGAATTAATAATTTTGCAAGACTATGGGAAATCATTATAGATGTTATTAAAAGCATTTTAATATATTTTACTCTCATACTCTAAAGAAACTTTGCCAGCTATAATTTGCTACCGGAAGGTGAAGAAGGATTGAAAATATAGGAAATATACTGAAATTAAATAAGAAAGTGGCTCCTTCACACAACATGCTGATGGAACTGGCATATATCAGATGCCTGGGTGTAGTAAAAAAATTTAAAAAATGAAAAAAAGCGGCGTTCTTTGGCCTGACATGGCTCTAAGGATTCAGAGAAAGCATAGAACCTGCAGCTTCAACAGCACGGAAGCAGAGGAGTGGAGGATACCTTCAACATCCCTGACCTTTTATTGTGCTGCCCAAGGAACTGGTTTCTGTCCTGCCTCACTTGTAGCACTGAAGAAATTCCCACAGTTTGGAGGGTCAGCTAACAGGAAAGGAAAATGAGCAGGTGGCTTGAAGTACCCGGCGCATCTCAATGAGATTGGGATAAGCTAGAAAACTCAAAGCATCTCCATAGGGAAGGAGGAAGAGAAGTAGACTGTGCCATTAGCATCACAGTCTGCAGTACATCAACATCTGCGTTACAACAGCCAGAGAGCAAGAGATTATGGACTCATGAAAAAAAAAAAAAAAGGAAAACCAATAAATCTCATCTTAAAATGACATGCATAAGTCCAGAGAAGAAACATCTGTATAAAATATTTGAGAGCTTCCCAGAATCTCAAATTAGAGTGTTTGGCAAAACTCTATCTGTGTCAAAGCCAGTTGGTAAATGTAACAGAGAGTTACTTGTTTCTTCAAATGCCGAGATGGCAAAATATGCAAGAAACATAATCAGTTAAACATGACCGAATGAAGAGAACAACATAAATATTATATAACAGATTCAAAGCAATAGAGATTTATGAATTGCCTAAACAAGTTTTCAATATACTTATAAAGAATTTCAATGAGCTGCTAGAGAATACACATAAATAACTAAATGAAATCAAGAACACAATACATGAACACAATTAGAATAGGGACAAAGTGATTAAAACTATTTAAAAAAGGTGAAATTCTGGAACTGAAGAATACAGTAACTAAACTGAAAAACTTACTGAAAGACTTCAATAACAGATTTTATTTAGCAAAAGGTAGAACATTTGAAATAATCCCAGTCAGAGTCGCATAAAATGAAAATAAAGCATAAAAGATGACATAATCTCGTATGTAGAAAACATTAAAGACCCCACAAACAAAAACAACAGCAAATGCAAATTGTTAGGGCTACTATATGAATTAGCAAAGTTAGAAGATGCAAAATCAACACACAAAAATCAAGTTGTGTTTCTATACATTAACATCAAACTATCTGAAAAGAAAATTAAAACAATCCCGCTTAATATGGAATAAAATACTTAGACTTAACATTAGTCAGTGATATGAAAAGCTTGTACACTTAAAACTACAAATCAATTATGAAAGACATTAAAGAAATACAAATAGATAAAAAAACCATTATGTTCATAGATTGAACACTTAATAGTGATAAAACGTTCAGACTTTCCTAATCAGTCTACGGATTTACTGCAATCCCTATCAAAAATCTCAATGACTTTTTTTTTTTTACATAATTTGAAAAGTAATTGTAAAATTCACATGGAACCTCCTCCCCTCCCGCAAAATGCCATGAACAGCCAAAGAAGTTTTGAGAAAGAAAAGCAAAGCTGGAGGCATTATACTTCTTAATTTCAAAATACATTACAAAGCAACAAAAATTAAAACAGAATGATACTGGCATAAAGACAGACATATAAACCAATAGGACAGAAGAGAGAGCCCGGAAATAAATCCACACCTATATAGTTAGCTGGCCTTCAACAAAGATGCCAAGAATACACAATAGAGAAAGAGTAGTCTCCTCAACAAATGACATTGGAAAAGCTGAGGATTCACAAACAACAACAACAACAACAACAACAAATTCAACCCTTATATACAAACATCAACTCAAATGGAGATTTGAATGTAAGATCTGAATCCATTAAACTTGTAAAAGAAAATATAAGGGAAAAGCTTTATGACATTTGTCTAGGGAATGTTTTCTTGGATATGACACCAAAAGCACAAGCAACAAAAGCAAATACAGACAAGTGGAACTACATCAAACTAAAAACTTTTGCATACCAAAGAAAAAGGTCCGCAGAGTGAAAGGCAACTTACTGGATGAGAAATAATATATGCTAGCTACATATCCAAAAGGGGTTAATATCTAAAATGTATAAAGAATTTCTACAGCTCAATGGCAAAATAAAATAGCAAAAGGACCTGAATAGACATTCTTAGGAAAACTTTTGAATGGCCATTGGGTTAAAAAGATGGCAAAAATGATTAGTGAATCATCAGAAAAATGCAAATTAAAAATTCCAGTAGCACCTGACACACATCTTACAGTGATCAAAAAGGAAGAAGACAAGGAAGGAAGGAAGGAAAAAAGGAAGAAGGAAGTTAACGTGCTAGGGAGAATGTGAAGAAATTGGAACACTTGTACGCTGGTGGTGAGAATGTAAAATGGTGAAATGGTGCAACTGACATGAAAAGCAGTATGGAGATTCTTCAAACACTTAAAAATAGAACAACCATATAATCCAGCAATCTTACATCTGAGTATATATCCAAAATAATAGAAATCAGAATCCTGAAGAGATATTAATATTCCCATGTTCATTGCAGTACTAATCACAATACACAAAATATAGAAATAACTTAAATGTCCATTGATATATAAATGATAAGTATATTCAAAAATACATATTTTAGTTTATGTTTACATAATGTATAGTTAAATTATGAATAATTATATCAATATTTTAGAAATAGGAGTTTTTTTTAGATAGATGTCTCTAAGTTCTCCTTAACTACAAAAATTTAAGCCACTGTGAAGGGGAACTTTCATGATACAATTTTTATTCAGATTTATGGGCTCCTTAAATATTATTAAAATTGATTAGGTGCGGCCAGGCGCGGTGGCTCACTTCTGTAATCCCAGAACTTTGGGAGACCGAGGCGGGCGGATCACGAGGTCAGGAGACTGAGACTGTCCTGGCTAACACGGTGAAACCCCGTCTCTACTAAAAATACTAAAAATTAGCCAGGCGCGGTGGTGGGCGCCTGTAGTCCCAGCTACTTGGGAGGCTGAGGTAGGAGAATGGCGTGAACCCAGGAGGCGGAGCTTGCAGTGAGCCAATTTCGCGCCACTGCACTCCAGCCTGGACGACAGAGCGAGACTGTGTCTCAAAAAAAAAAAAAAAAAAAAAAAAAGCATTGATTAGGTGCACCACTGAAAAACAATCCTACATGTGAGGCTTATGTTGTCAGTGAAGGACCCCGAAGTCTTAAGGTAAAGGAGAAACAAACTGCTGGGTTGTTGTTCCTGGGTTGTTTTTCGAGGAGTCAGTGTTTGGACTCATGGGGCTTAACATCAAAGTCACTAAAACATGCTGAATGGAAAACTGTACACATGGTATGGGGTTACCAGTGTAGCTGCTTGTAGTTATCTGGGCATTAGATAATACAAAATAATTCATCTATTCAGTTGCGATAAATAGATTATCTGTATACCAATCTTTATTGAATCTTTAAGAATACATTAAGTAGAGGTTTTCAAAGCATTCAGCTACCATTGAACCCGCAACAAAAAACTGGAAAGATATTTGGCAGAAAAGATCAAAGGAGAGGAAAGGAGGAGCGTTCTAAAGGAAAAGAACATCAGTACGTGTACAAAAAGAGGGAATTTTTCTGAGAATATAGCCAGGCATTCTCCAATGAGGCAACACTATATGTATCTATAAACTGAAGTTTGTTGCACAGAAGGATTCTATATTACATAAATTGTTTTTCACAAAGATAAATAGTTTTCCATATTTTTGACATCAGGTACACAGTCCCTGGCTTTTGTTTATTAAAATATGCCCTGTAGTAATAGTTAAGAGAACTTTACCCTATATATGTTGAAGGGCGTTGATGTTTTTAATTTTAAATCAATCTGTATTGTATTTCTGATTTTTGGTATTTTTATAATACATATCTCTATCATATAAATTTCTCAATATTTGTCCGAACGCATACACATATATTGACAATATGTCTTACCTCCTTCTTGGATTATTGGATTGAGTTTTCCCCCTTTTAATTGTGATTCAAAGGAATGGAACAATTTTACAATTACAAAAAATGAGGAATGGAACAATTATTTACATTTCATAATTGTTCTGGGCTTTTCTTAGACTTTGAACATGTGTTTTTCCCTTCTGCATGATTTCTTTGAGGTACTTCTTGCCTGGAATAATAATAATGTAAATTTTTTTTATTAACATTTTTTGCTAAATAAAACTAATATTGGTATCACTCTTCCAAGGATATCATGCATTCCAATTTATTGGGTATGATTTAGAAGAAATAAGACTATGTTATTAATGCTTGCAAATGAAAAAGCACCTTTGAATGCTTCGAATTTGAATCAACAAGTAGTAAATTATCTAACTGCCTTTTCTATATTTAACATTGGATTTATCCTCATTTAGTTTTTTTGTTTTGCTCAGTTTTTTTTTAACTTTTATTTTAGTATCAGAGGTCCATGAGCAGGTTTGTTATATAGTTAAATTACATATAACAGGGGTTTGGTATACAGATTATTTCATCATTCAGGTAATAACCATAGTACCAGACAGGGAGTTTTTGGATTCTAATTCTCCTTCCAACCTCCACCCTCAAGTAGGTGCCATTGTCTATTGTTCCATAGACATTGCCTTTGTGTGCATGTGTGCTCAAAGTTTAGCTCCCACATACATGTGACAATATGTTTGTTTTGATTTTCTGTTCCTTTGTTTGCTAAGGATAATGGCTTCCAGATCCATCCACGTTCCCAGAGAGGACATAATTTCATTCCTTTTTATTGCTGCATAGTATTCTATGGCATATATGTTCTGCATTTTCTTAACCAATCTGCCATTGATGGGCATTTAGGTTGATTTCATGTCTTTGCTATTATGAATAGGGCTGTGATAAACATATGCACAAATGTGTCTTTATGTAGAATGAATTATATTCCTTTTGGTATATACCCAGTAATGGGATTGCTGTGTTAAATGGTAGTTGTTTTTAGTTCTTTGAGAAATCTCCAGACCACTTTCCACAGTGGCTGAACTAATTTACATTCCCATAAGCACTGTATAAGCATTGCCTTTTCTCTGCAACTTTGTAGAGAATTTTGAAGTTGGGGAATATAAAGTCTCCAGTTTTGTTCTTTTTCCTTAGGATTGCTTTGGCTATGTGGGCTCCTTTTTGGTTCCATATGAATTTTAGGATAGTTACTTTTTCTAATTCTGTGAAGAATGTCTTTGTTAGTTTGATAGGAATAGCATGGAATCTCATTTACTTTTAACAGGAGAATGTTTTTTAAAAAAACATGTATATTTATACCCATAAACCTTTTACAGTTATTCAAGGTCTAAATTTCAAAAAGATAAATTAAATAAAAAGGTGCTCTAAGAACAAATAACTTTTTAAAGGTCCTATATAAGAAAAGCATTATGAAATTATATAAGATTGTATCATTGCTAGTTCTATACGTTATTACTAAATATAAAAAATCACACTTTTCTAGAGTCTTTCTGTAGCTTGAGCACAGATGTCATCTGAACTCTTGTAAAAGGGAAAATGATGATCCGGTTCTTACACAATTTGTATGTAACATATAATTTTATATACCTGTCACAAATAACATTTCTGTCACATATTTATAGGAAAACAGAACTTATGAGTCTCAAAGGTAGCAAGATGGGAGAATTATAATTCAATATGACAGGCTCCATTCAACAAATGGAAAATTCTTAGGGTAAATTAGGAAGTTTTTATTTTTCGTAAGTGTCAAGTTATCCAAGTATGTTTTGGATAGGAGTCTTTGAAGCACATCTTTGCAAAATAGTGTGGGGTGACTTATACAGTCAAATCTCAAGTAACAGTATTGTACACTGCTTAAAAACCTGGAGCAGCATTCCACAACATACAGTTCAGTATGATATTCTGTGTTAAAAATATTTCTCTGCTTAAATAACTGGGAGTCATTATAAAATGTTTCTCCACCTTGACATTATTCTGTACAAAGTAAAGGCTTTAACAAGTAAACTTGTTTGACTTTTACTTTATTTTATTTTATTTATTTTATTATACTTTAAGTTCTGGGGTACATGTGCAGAACATGCCGGTTTGTTACATAGGTCTACATGTACCATGGTGGTTTGCTGTGCCTATCAACCCGTCATCTACATTAGGTATTTCTCCTAATGCTATCCCTCCCCTAGTCCCCCACCCCACAATGGGCTCCAGTGTTTGATGTTGCCCTCCCTGTGTCCATGTGTTCTCATTGTTCAGCTCCCACGTATGAGTGACAACATGCGGTGTTTGGTTTTCTGTTCTTGTGTTAGTTTGTTGAGAATGATGGTTTCCAGCTTCATCTATGTCCCTGCAAAGGACATGAACTCATCCTGTTTTGTGGCTGCATGGTATTCCATGGTGTGTATATGTGCCCCATTTTCTTTATCCAGTCTATCATTGATGGGCATTTAGGTTGGTTCCAAGTCTTTGCTGTTGTGAATAGTGCCGCAGTAAACATACATGTGCATGTGTCTTTATAGTCGAATGATTTATAATCCTTTTGTTATATACCCATTAATGGGATTGCTGGGTCAAATGATATTTCTGGTTCCAGATCCATGAGGAATTGCCACACTGTCTTTCATAATGGTTTAACCAATTTACACTCCCACCAACAATGTAAAAGCGTTCCTATTTCTCCATATTCTCTCCAGCATCTGTTTTTTCCTGACTTTTTGATGATCACCATTCTAACTGGCTTGAGATGGTATCTCATTGTGGTTTCGATTTGCATTTCTCTAATGACCAGTGATGGAGACCTTTGTTTCATATGTTTCTTGGCCGCATAAATGTCTTCTTTTGAAAAGTGTCTTCTCATATCCTTTGCACACTTTTTGATGGAGCTGTTTGGTTTTTCTTGTAAATTTGTTTTAAGTTCCTTGTAGATTCTGAATATTAGCCCTTTGTCAGATGGATTGCAAAAATTTTCTCCCATTCTGTAGTTTGCCTGTTCACTCTGATGATAGTTTCTTTTGCTATGCAGAAGCTCTTTAGTTTAATTAGATCTCATTTGGAAATTTTGGCTTTTTTTGTCATCGCTCTTGTGTTTTAGTCATGAAGTCTTTGCCCATGCCTATATCCTGAATGGTATTGCCTAGGTTTTTTTCTAGGGTTTTTATGGTTTTAGGTCTTACATTTACGTGTTTAATCATCTTGAGTTAATTTTTGTGTAAGGTATAAGGAAGGGATCCAGGTTCAGCTTTTTGCACATGGCTAGCCAGTTTTCCCAACACCATTTATTAAATAGGGAATCTTTTTCCCATTGCTTGTTTTTGTCAGGTTTGTCAAAGATAAGATGGTTGTAGATGTGTGGTGTTATTTCTGAGGCCTCTGTTCTGTTCCATTGGTCTATATATCTGTTTTGGTACCAGTACCATGCTGTTTTGGTTACTGTAGCCTTGTAGTATAGTTTGAAGTCAGGTAGTGTGATGCCTCCAGCTTTGTTGTTTTTGCTTATGATTGTCTTGGTTATGTGGGCTCTTTTTTGGTTCCATATGAAATTTAAAGTATTTTTTTCCGATTCTGCGAAGAAAGTCAATGGCAGCTTAATGGGGATGGTATTGAATCTATATTACTTTGGGGAGTATGGCCATATTCACAATATTGATTCTTGCTACCATGAGCATGGAATGTTTTTACATTGGTTTGTGTCCTCTCTTATTTCCTTGAGCAGTGGTTTGTAATTCTCCTTGAAGAGGTCCTTCACGTCCTCTGTAAGTTGTATTCCTAGGTATTTTATTCTCTTGGTAGCAATTGTGAATGAGAGTTCGTTTATGATTTGGCTTTCTGTTTGTCTGTTATCGGTGTATAGGAATGCTTGTGATCTTTGCACATCGATTGTTTGACTTTAATTACACTGACTTTCCTGTGGGTTTTGTTGTTGCTGTTCAGTGTTTTGTTTTTTGGCCATATGATTTGTTTTCCCAAAAATTGTTGCTGATATTTTGTGGAACTAAGTGTTCAATGAAATGTATATTTGCAAACACTGATACAATGTAACATGAATCTACACTAAGAGATTTATATCCCAGTCTGAGTAGAGATGAATACTGCCTTCTTCTGCATGATGGTTCTCATAAAAAATTTGTTGAAGATAATACATGTTTGCAGAACATTCTCAGTTTTGACAACAAAAAAATACTGTCATAATTTAAAAAACTAAAGAATTGGTTTGCTTTCTAAGTGACTATTTCAGTTTTGTATTCACTTGGTTAGATATTTTGATTCTTTATAATTTATTTAACATTATTTTCCCAAATAACATTTTTCTAAGATAAATAATGCCATTAGAATAGTAACAATTTTCTATTTAATATGAGAGGCAGATATATCGTATTTGACTGCAGTTTGTGCATTTTATATTTTTATTTACATTTACTTAAAAAGTCAGTATAATGTACATTTAAAAATTTTACAATGTATTACATGTATATATTTTTTGAATATTTCCAATATAAATATGTTTCTAGGAGGATATAATACAGTATGTAGAAACTCTATTCTAATGTAAACATGTTATTACAATAATTTAACTAAAGTAATATTTAAAATTAAAATGTGCAGTATTTTTGAAAAGTATGCTTATGCATATTAAAATTATATAGTGACATGAACTAACTGACATAAATTATACTGTCCCAGTAAGTGCAGTTATGTTGTCAAATTTTTTTTTTCTGTTACGTGAAATATATGGCAGTTATTAAATTTTTTATTTCGATAAAATTCTTTCATTTTTAAAAAGCACAAAATGCATGTTAATCTATGGAAATCTTAAAAATTTAACATTGTTTCAAAAAATGCAAGGTTTTGAAACAGGAGGTTTAACAAAGAGGAAAAACAATAAAAATTATAAGATGACAGCGCACTCAAGCTAGGCAATGATATTTTTCTGAAAATTAGGCTTATCCTCATGAAAAATCATGGACTTCATTGTTCTGTGGAAAGAATTAACATTTACCCCAAGAAACTAAGGGTGTGTGTCAGATTATGTAAACTTAAGGTAAATATAATTATACAGAGTTCCCTATACATCTCAAGTAATTATAAAGTAATTATGTGAATGGCCTTGAGTTCATTTGAGTCATGTAATTTTCAGATAAAAATAGAGTATTTTTATTAGTGTAGAATGAAATTTAGATGCAACTAATTAAATTTTCTATAGAAATGCAGTTACTAAAGGAATTCTACTTAAAATTTCTCCTGTTGCCTATTTTACGCTAAGAAAATTTAACCTTTTATCTTAGAAAGCAATCTAATTTTGTTACCATTGTTAGTTTTTGGAAGTAGGGAATTTGGGTGTTTCAGCTTAAGACAATTTTCTTAAAACAGTCTATTTTGACTTCCTGAATAAAGCATCCCAATTGTATCTTAACTTAGTTGATAAATGTATTTGAAGAGAGGTTAAAACGATTAAAGGTAAACTTTCAGGTACTGTATTATTATTAGCTGAAACACACCTCCAGAACATAAGATTCAGAAAGATGCCAACTTACTCAATGAACAATTGATATTTTCAGCCAAGTAATTTACCTTCTGTTTGTTGATTTTTGAGACAAGTTTTCTTTTCTAAGATCATGAAAAAAGACTAGTCTACAAATCATGGACTGAGAAGCCAGGCTGGCAAGAATTGTTTCACTTGAAGGATAGCATCTGCCTATTATTTGTGTATTACATATATATTTCAATTGTTAAAGCCATCATGGAGGGGACCATATTTGCAAATAATGGCTTTGAGTTAAACATAAATTCTGCATTTTTATGAGAATAATTGCCTTCAACTTTTGACTACTTTTTGCTTATCCATTTCCTTTAATTTTCAAAATATATATAATTATATAAACTATATATATCAAAGACTGATCACTGTTCTAAGGCAAGTAAACATTTGGAATTTCCTTGGATTATCATTTGCACATCATTACAGAACCTAGTGTCATTGCAGGACACAAAGAAAACCATTTTCTGATAATTAAAATAAATTTTGCCTTTACACACATATGTTAAATATATTTCTCCATTATAGCAGAGGAACTTAACACAGTGTTGCAGATAAAATACCATTTTTTACATTTTCTTGCAGCATTTGAATTTCAGAATATATGAATAAATTATGTAAAAAAGAACTGTACATGTTTAAAAAATAGCTATCAAGTTCAAACATTGCTCTAACCTTTCTTGCATGTACTCTTTTAAAGTTAACAGTTTTTGCATTTATCACATTATCAAATTAACCCAACTGGATCAATATTACTTCAACTAATAGGAGACAAAAAAATAGAGCACAATTGTATGTAAACATTTCCTGAATGTGGATTAAAATGTTGATTATAAATAACACAAAACAAAAACAATGAGAAAGATAAAGTTCAAGCAGATTAAGTTCAATTACTTTTCTTCTCACTGGTCTTCAATATAGTAAGTATTTTTTTAACCTTTGTGATTATGATCTGAATTTGGGCAGGCCACTCTCTTGGCCCGGAATTAACAAAGTAACTTTACCTTAGTTAAAGTAAATTATTAAACAACACTTAAATACTATTTCTTAGAAGAATGTGTATTTTTTTTAGAAGTCCAGATGAAATTTGTATTAATTTGCTTATACCTGTTTAGGGGATGGCAAAAATAAGGTATGTCATTTTTTTTTTTTTAACCAATGTGGGCAGTTAATGGATAAGTCTCATACTGCAGAGGCTTGGGATGTATTTTAGTGTCACCACTGATAATAGGTATAGCACCAAACTGAACTGATTCAGCTTTGGAAACCACAGAGTTAATATAATGCAAAAGGCAGTTTCTTTTAAGTTGCTCATATTAGATACTGGATCTCTGTTTCCATTGTTTTTCTGTGCTTTAATTGTTCTAATTACTTCTTACTATTCATTTTCCATGGTGCCTATGATGAGATAACCATGAACACAATCACAAGTTGGATTCAGGAAAATGACCTGGCCTGTATACTATAAAATATAAAATCTGAAATTTCCTAGTTGAAAAGTTATCTGATCCAGACTTCTCTGTATAACGTATTGATAGTTTCAAAGTTGAATATTTGGGCTTCTAAATGCTACAGTGTTTTTAGGCTAATCAATATGGTTGGCTATGAAGATTTATCAAACTATACCCTGAGGTACCCTAAATAGTATAAAACATTAGGATACCCCATTTTAAAAGAATAATTTACCCTACTTCTGTCTCATTTATATGATTCCACCTCCTTTTAGGGTTTTTTAACCATAATTTAGGTTCATAATTTAATGTGTTCATTGATAAATATTTTTAAATGCCTTCACAGTAATTCAAAATGCTAATAATTTATCACTTAATCATTATAACATTTCAGGGATAGAAAGAATCATGCCAAACCATAATGAAGACTACAAATAAGATATTCCACAATGATGTGGGAACATCTGACTCAACAGATTTGTCCGAGGGAGGGAGGGGAGGGCTGGGGAGGGAGGGAGAGAGAGAGAGAGAGAGCGAGCGAGCAAGAGTGCACAAAACTGTGTTAGCTTGGCATATATTTAGTGGTAATACTCAGGTTAATTTTATAGCTAACTCATTCTACCACACCTCACATGAGGAGAAAAAGAAACTCCAAAATAAATCTTTAGACATGAAATGAGCCATACTGAGAGTTTCTAGCATTTTATAAAAACAGAGTCCAGATGCAATATGGCCCCCGGTAGAATGTGATTACACAATGAGCACGCATTCATATTACTCAGGACATCAAGGTTCACATTTCCCATCACTAGAGTCCCCTTTTGAGATTTTTGGAGCGAGTGGGCATTCCAAAGTAAAAAAAAAAAAAAAAAAAAAAAAAAAAAATAGATGCTTAGTACTGGGTCATCCTCACACTCAAACTAGCCTAGTTTTCCTCATGCCACCGGTAGGTAAAATCAACAGGAATGATGGTCTGTGTTAAAATAGAATTTGTCCAATACCATGAGAAAGTATCTTACATGTGAGTCATTGAAAATGTAATACCAGTTCATGATTTAGAAAGCAACTGTAGATTTAAAAATTACAGTAAAAGTTTATTCTTGCTTTTTATTTCTCTAGTTATAGCATTCTTTTATCCATTTGAAATCCAGCATAATATCTTAGCCACTCATCTCTTGACTCTATTTTCCTAATTGACACCCTGGTATTCAAATGTTTGAGGAGGCGCATATCCTACTACAGAAGGCCTTTATAATTAGAAATGATAAAGTTCTTATTTTTAACACACTTCTCATAATAAATGAAACTCAGCCTGTGACCATGCCATTGCTTATTTTCTTTATAGAATTTTCCACATCATGACATTATCTCGTTTATTTATTTTTATGTTATTTGTAGTCTCCATTTCTCCCACTGCCCAAAAGCTCCAGGAGAGTTTGGCCTTGCCTATCCTTGTTTGATTGACCAGGTTGTTCAGCAGCACCTAGAATAATGCCTGATATATGGAGGTGCTTCTTACTATTTATTAAATACA
The DNA here is from genome assembly GCF_000001405.40 of Homo sapiens. NCBI lineage: Eukaryota > Metazoa > Chordata > Mammalia > Primates > Hominidae > Homo > Homo sapiens. Next base: position 14,080,201 of record NC_000008.11, read on the forward strand.
TGAGCAAATGAATGAACTAAAATATAGAAAAAGTAATACATTAATTTCTCTGAAACACAGTTTTCTTGTCTATAAAACTTGGATTAGTTGAACTTAATTCAAAAATTTTTGAGATTATAATTTTAAAAGTAACCAATTAATTCATTGTACAATAAACAATATATGCTTAATTCGTGTTAGTTTATTTACTTTTATCTTTGAAGAGCATACTACCAAGTAAAGTTGTTATCCAGAACTCAGATAACTTCCATAACCCAGATTATTCCATTGGGTACTTTGAATTACATAATGGACCATAATTTGTCAAATGCGTGACAACTTGCCACCTCAGTTGCCACCTTCCTTATTCCTTTCATTTCAGTACATAGCTCCATATGTTATACTTCTATATTAGAATAAAAAATATGATAGCACAGGATTAAATACATTAAAACTGTAAAGGATACTAAAGTAACATTGATGCATCTAAAAAATATTTGGCATTCACTCCCCTTATTTTACCATCAGGAAACAGGCCCAGTGTTGAGCTGAAAGGCCTTGAGATCATCTGACTGAAAAAATAGAACAGATGTGCGAGTGAGTCAATCATTCCAGAACTTTGACACTACAAATGATCATGCCACTTTTCTGGAGAGCTTAAACTTATTCCTAAACCATTCTCAATATCCAGGGTTCCATTGTGATAGCCCTTTTCAACTGATCAGAGTTAGCATGCCAAGTGAAATCCATGTACAATCACATCTTGTCTAAACTTCTCACTTAGATTAGGTGTATATAGATTATTGAATGACATCTAAAATGAAACACAGGAATTAAAGTCTGATTTTTTTTACTTCAAATTTACTGATCCTCCTTTTGAAAAAATAAAATTCATTTTACTTATGGATTTATATTTCTTCAAGATAAATAACAAGTCATTACAAAATAAATACAGACTTCAAAAGATGAAATGTAAAAGGAAATGTATATTTATTCTTTTAATTTTTTAATTAGAAGTTTCAATTCTTATGAATTTTTGTCTATTAGACTTTTGCTTTGAGGTAATTTATTAAATTTATTTTTCAAGACTTTCAGCTTACTTTTAAATATTGACTTCATATTCTGTGCTGTGCATTCAAAACTTAGTGGAATGTCATTAAATCAGCTATAAATTCAAGATGATCTATAAAATCTAATTTAGTAATTCAGTTGACCCAATGGAACAAAGTATTACGTATTTCTAGAATTTTGGCTATGTCTTTCTTCGGCTTTATATTTCCTTAATTAATTTTGAAAGCTAATAGGTGACTTTTCTTATGATGTCTCAAAGGCTTTAGTTGTGGTGCCCAGTGAATTCAGAATCTTGTAGCAAGTTGTAAATAGTAGGAAAGTACTGGGTTTATCGTGTTCTTAAAATTTAGAGTTTTACCAAGACTTTTTATCTACAATACTTTTAAAATTGTTACTCTTTTACATTGCATGATCAACTCATCTATAGACACTATTATATAATACACATAAAACTGTATAACAAGAGAAACTAGATGCCTTTTTGGAAAAATATCTGGCTAGTTCACAGATGCTTTGGATCCATTCTATTTATGTTCGACATTTTACACATCTTGGTATTTTATGCATATTTTAAGGATTCGTAATTGTGAATCAATTGAGGTTTTCATGCTTTGCAGTGCTCTGAACAATCCCATAATATCTTCTGTAACTGTTAAGTAAATAGATAAAAAGCACTAAAATTATTAATAAATCTAATAATTTTAATAAAATTAATTTTAATGTTAAAATTTTAATAAAATTAACACATCAGGTTTTCTTCATCCTTGAATAAATAATAATCTCTTAGATTTAACGTAAGGAAATATTTTATATGTTATGAATAAATGGTGTATATGTTCTCAAAAGTTGAGAATGACGTATCTATACTATTTCCCCTTAAATCTTTGGCCTACAGGAAACTTAAACATACATGTAATATTCAACACACTTAATAGTCATATTGTTTATCCTTTTTGTTATTTCTGTCTCCTCTATGGTTTTTCTTTAATATTTTTGTCTTACTCCATATTGTAAGAAAACTTACATCCTTCTGGAAACAGCTGTATAGAGAAAATAAGTAACATAGAAAATATGGCTAGATCTACTAAAAATATCTGCAAAAACTAATTTGATGTAACATTTAGTTGTAGCTTATAAAATATACTAAGCATTATTGTTGGACTAAGCCAGTTTACTCATTTTAGCTTCATGATTTATATGCACCACTTAAAAAAATTAGTGATTTGGCCATGTTTTTGAGAAACTGTTGAGTATATATCTATAATCTGCCCTTAAATCTTTTTTTCTGACATAGTCTTTCTCTTTTTTGTATCAATGGTGTTTCTTTGAGTGATGAAAAAACTAGGTGTTCAATTTATATTTTAAATAAATCAAGTGATCTTTTTTTCAGTTAGAATAATTTTTATTAACTAAAAAAAGTATTAGTGAGTACTATAAAATGAAGATTTCTCCATTACCATAAAACGTGCTTTCAGGGCAAGTAATAATTCTTACCAAGAGGGAAAGAGAAATGTAAAAAAAAGCCTTCGCTTCAAATTTTGTTATGTGACCTCCCCATAGAGGGTAAGCTTCTACCTGGTAATTAGAAGAAGTAACAGGAACGTTTAAAATTCACACAGGTGCTATTTCTGGATCAGTTATTTTAGTGATACAGGAATCATGGTGATATTATTTTAGTGATACACCAATTGATGAAAACATCAATATAATATTGCACTGAATTACCTGGCTAAATACCCATTCCCAACCTCTATTCTCAATAGTCCCATGTGTAATAATAAGAGCTTATGTATCAGTCCCTGTCCCTGGTTCTTAACACAGAGCACCTAAAACCCCTGTAAGTAGGGATCCTAGGAGAACTTTTCGTTTTCATATTTGGTCTTTAAGCCAGTTCCTGACACAGAATTCCTAAGACCTTGGTAGTTTCCTGAGTGATAGTAGTGTCTTTTATTCAAATGCGGTGCCTCTTTGTGGGATCCTGGAAGGAAGCTGGTCACCAGGAAGACCAAGCCATGACTAGAAGCTTGGGACTGACAGCCTCACTCTCCAATTTCTAGCAGGATGTGGGGGTGGGAGGATTGGAGTATATAATTAATCATTCCTGTGTGATGAAGCCTCCATAACAATTCCAAAACTATGCGGTTCAGAGCTTCTGGGTTGATGAACACATCCATGTGCTGTGAGAGTGACAAGCCCCAACTCCCTGCCCTCTGGACCCTTTTAACCCTCAGCTTACATGCCTTTCATCTGGCTGTTCATTTGTATCTTTCAAAATACTCTTTGTAATAAATCAGCAGTAGGAAATAAACTGTTTTCCTCAGTTCTGTGAGCCAGTCTAGTAAATTATCAAATCCAAGGGGTCATGGGATTTGTAGCCCGTTCAGACAGGAATTGTGGGTAACCTGGGGTCCTATCACTTGTGCCTGGGGTCTGAAAAAGGGAGAAATGTGTGGCAATGAGCCCTTAACCTATGGCATCAGTGCTAATTTCAGTTGGCATTGAAATGGAATTAAACGGTAGGACATGCAGCTGGCATGGGAGTATTGGTTATTGTGGGGAAAAACTACACATCTGATCACAGTGTTGAGTGTGGGTATAGAAAAAAACTGCTTTTTCCTTATTTGCCCCACTATTAAGAGAAAGAGATTACCAAATTCAGGCATTACTATGGTTGGTAAATGGCCTAAGAATCTGCTGGAAATAAGTATTCAAGTATTTGTTTGCACACATATCTGAACCGTCCAAAACTTTCTTGGAAATTAAAGTCATAGAATAGATATGCTTCCCTGAGCTGAAAGCACTCATTTGTGTTCTGTTTAGATTTAATATCAGGAAGTCTGCATGAGGAATGTAAACGGTTGTTTTTGTTTTTGTAACTAATATCTGGAACAGTGTGTAGAGACGCTTCGACAGCAAAGAAAAAAGCTAATAGTGACTCTTTGGGGGGAAAAGGTTTCTCGTGAATACTGTTTTTGTCTTAGTTTTGGAAACAATGTGGCACAATGTCACTTACAAGGTATGTACAATATTGGACTGGATATATTGCTAAAAGTTAACAAAGTCCATGCCATTGCCTCAAGTCCTCCTGGATTAAGAGATAAGGTAACAAGGAAATGAAGAAATACATCAAATAAGTAATGATTAGCATGTGTTTATATTATTGTATATATATTGTATTATATTTACCATTGCATATATGTGTATTTTTGTGTGTAGTTTGATTATGTATATGTAGGGGTATAAGTTTGTGCACATAGTAGTTTTTTTTGTCCTATCCCAAAAATCAAATCAGAGGGACTCTAGAATGAATAAACTATTAGCTAATTGTTTGATAAACTGTGGTGATTTTATCGTTAAAATTCTTCAGTTTTATTAGTCATATATTTAAAAGGGACAGTGTGCCCAGGTTTTCATTAGAGAAGCATTTTATCCAGTATAGATATATGGATTAAGCTTAATATTTTTAAAACATACATCTTAATTTAACTGATTTTTAAAATACAGAATTGAAAAGGTCTCTACTGACTAATACTCATACCCCTCTTCTTTGAACTATTTTTAAAAACTCAAGAAAATAAATGAAATGATATCATGTAAGTTTTTATCCTCTTTGTTTTGACTATCACATTTAATCATGGTTACATAGTAGCACCAAAATTAGGACAAATTACAAGAATCACAGGAGAGATCTTAAATTATATGAGCTCATTGCATGCTTCAAAAGGTCTCATTTCAGAGAAAAAAAGGTTTCCAATTGCCAAAACTTTGCTGCATTTTCTCTCCCCCAAAATATACCCCAATTAAGTTCCATCTAAACAAAAGATACAATAGACTGATTTTTGAATAGATATGTTATCTACAGTTTATAGGGCAGACAGTCCATTTAAATAGAAAAAGTGATTTTACATAAAGCAAGATAGAGTACAAAAGCACAGCTTTTGTAATTTTGGTAATATTGCAATTTTACAAACATGTTGCATAGTATGTGTAAGAAAATAGTTCCATTTTTCATATATCTATATATACAAGAAAACATTTACATGAAAGTACAAAACAAAATAAATGAATAGTGGACCTGATTTAAAGAATTGTATAAATAACGAGACACTCAAACTCCAGATTACATATCTCCATTGTTAATGAATGTCCTTGCCCATCTTTAACCCTGTTTGGTTTTTATTTATAAATACGCAAACAAATGAGATACTAAGACTGAAAAAAACAAAAAATAACTACAGTTCATTATATCTCATTTCCTTTAATGGTTTTCATTGGCTTTCTCAAAATGCAGAGCCACCTCAGTTAACAATTAAAAAATAGCCCTCTGGTTCTACAAGTATTTCAAATTTTATTCTCCAAATAGTGTTCAGCAAGCAGTGAAAGTTGAAACTCAGCTGAGGAGATCCATGCTGGGCCCATTTTGGGATACGGTCTTTGCATATAGGTTTTATGAATACCAAGGAGTTTGTTATGCATGTATAAAAGAAAAGTGGACCACACTAATGATGTTTCCCTTCTGAAACAAAAGCATTCCTTAATTTATACAACTCAGGATCCTCCAAGAAGGATGTTTACTACCTCATGTTATAATTATAAGCCCCCCTATTCATTTGAATAAATTAGTAGGAGCAGCAGTGTTTTAGAGTTAAATACAATAGAAATCCCATTCTTTGGTCTTTGACATTTAAACAACTAATAAATTTCAGTATAAAACAACATGAATAACAGTGTTCAATTAAATTATTGATTAGTTTATGATTATTTAAAATGAATACAAATGCAAATTTCCTTTGTGATAATGATATTTTGTAGTGTTCATTACTGTAATATACACCAGTACATAGAGCAAATAATTTCTCCATATGTCATTAAATATGATCACATGAACAACTCTTATTAGACCACAGCTATTTGAAGAATTAGGTGACAAGACCTCACTCATATAAAACTCAAATATGAATTTGGCTTTGAGGATTTTATAGAAAATTTGGCTATTAAATACTTTCAATGATTTTAATAATTTAACATTATTATGTTGACATTCTCTGCTATGAAATATAACACTCATATGCATTAGACGCTCTCCAGGCTATTGCTGCCTCATACAGAGATACCATGTTTGCAATGAAATAATTTATTAGGAGTTTTATTGTATCAAATGCTATTTTTGTAAAACGAGGCATTCTCTGATTGAGTCATTCGATAGAATATGTAGGAATTTTGAATGGAATAAAACAGTTCAGCAATTAACCTCTGTGATCACATTATCATTTCTTCAAAAGATCACTGCTTTTTAGCTTTATGGAGGTAATAATCACAGAATGTTCATATTTGGTTAATATTTCTATTAATTTCCTAAACAGTCATTTTGAATAAGATCCAAATGCATTATTTTCCTTTTTAACGTCAACCATATTACTGAATCCTGTTAACCAGGCATGATTTTTCCAAAGGAACCTTAATGTTCAAATGTTAAGAGTGTAAAAGGGAGTATAAAAAAGAGCATAGGAAGTAGCGTGCCAAAAAGGTTTGTATTTCAACTTTTATAAGCAGCTTTTTAAGGTGCAGAAGGAGATCACAAATGCTAGTTCAGATATGGCTACTTAACCTAAGATTTATGAGTGCTTCCTTAACTGAATCAGAAAAACTTAAAAATGAATGTGACTAAAGGAAATGTCTAGTTTGATATACCCCTCTCACAGATAAGTGAACTGTGACCAACGTAATTAAATATATGTCTTAAGTAGGTAAGTTCACATGACTAGCCAGGGGCAGAACTAGAACTGGAATTGCTGGCTCCATTTTCCGAGATTTGAAGTACTGTAATCTAAGATTCCTAAGTTACAGTAAAATTTGAGGTGTATAATTGTCTTAAACTCTTAGATAAATAATTATGTGCCAAATTATAAAACATATCATTCACAATAAAATATATATATTTTAGACATAAATGTGTGTATGTGTGTGTATGACTAATAAGTAAGTACCGGATAGAAATTTTGGAAATGTTGAACAAGGGAAGTAGGAAATTTGGAAGTTTTTGTTGTTCTTGCTGTTTTTTTTTGAAGTATTTAATTGAAATCTTCTGAAAAAGAAAAGAATAATGTGTCCTCTTTGCATCTTTCCTTTTGTGATCCCCCAAACCTGAATTCAGATACATCTCGGTTTATCCATTCCTGGCAAATAACTTAAATGCTAGCAAAACTACCAACCTCTTTTTCTTCTTCCGTTTGTTCCTTCCTGGCGTACACTGAGTATGAAGTTATTAAGATACGGGTAATAAGATAGCTTAGTCGCATCCATGTAGTACACTATAAAGGACTCATTTTTCTCAGTGTCATTTGGGGAAGATGAAATTTATATAAGTAAACTGCATTTTATTTATACATATTGTAACATAAAGATGGTACTGGGAAAACATAATCTGTTAGGGTACTGTGCAATTAAGGGACCACTATATTTTTAAAAAAAAAAAAATGCTTTTTTGTGTTTGAATGTGGAAAACGAGGACATTTGGGGCCATTCTTCTAAGCCTTCACAATAGGCTTGATCTCTCTGAGGCAGGGATCTTGGCTTAGATTCAGAAATCTGAAACAGCTAGTCAGATAACTTAAAGCAATTATTTGGTGTTGAATAGGAAAGCCATCGCTATCACTATATTTTCTACTGTACTGAACCGATTTGTTATATCATCTGGATACAGTCTAAAGCTCTCAAGCTTGTAAGTTACTTTTGAATTATGTCTATACTTCTCAGAATGCATTTGAATTAAAAATGTGTCAGTCCCTCACTGGAATCGGTTTTTACATCTTTTTTTCTCACTTTTTTTTTCATCTTTTCTCCTCTTATGACATATAATTTAAAATTTCATTTTTCTCTTTTGCCTTTTGTAATTTTGAAATTAGAACTTGAATTAGAACTTGAAATTAGAACATGTTGGAACAGAAAGGAACCCCAAGAGACTATTTTATTCAATACTTTTGCTGTGAAGTTGAGTAAACTGAAGCCTGGAGAGATTCTCGAACTGCCTAAAACAGCTCAATTGATTAGTAGAAGACAGCTGAGATTAGAAACAGGGCCAGTTCCTAATCAAAAGAATTATTCCCATTTGACTTAGAAAGTTTCTAATTGTTTTAATGGAAGGATGATTAGAACTTGAATATGTCTTAAATTAAATTACTACATAATGTTTTCCTTAAAAGTCCATAATATAGTGATTAGCACACATAATTTCTCAATATTTCTTGTATTATACTTTATTTTGCAAAGACCAATGTGAGATTTCTTATATTAAATTCTCTTATTTTAATATAAATTAAACTCTTGTGTTATAACTTTGTAAGCAATCGTATATCATAAATTCTTATTTCAATATTGATTTAAAAAGTTATATAATAACACCCAAATATAATCACATTTTATTTTAACAGTAATAAATTAGCCTTTGAACCCTTCTGCTGAGTACAGTGGAAATGAGCTTTTTCAGTTATTTGATATGCTAGGTTATGCAAACAAGATAATTCTGGTCAAATATTTCACTTTTCTTCTTGCATTGCCAATATTTCTACTTTCACTAACCACATCTTTTGCAACAAGTTCTAATCTCCCAGTTCACTCTGAGCTGTAGACACCTGAACTCCAAAGACTCTACAGCCATTAATCCCCAAAAGGAAGTTTCAACACAAATGTTGATAGTGTGCATGAGGGAGAAAAACGTTTGATTGACATGTGAAAATTCAGGACTTACCTTATAGTAATTAAGTCATCTTCCCATAATAGGAAATACTTAATACAGTTTTACATTCTTTGACTCTGTAAGTTTCAAGAGTTTGAGTTAAGGGGTGCTGTGATAAATGAATATTCAGTATTCTGGAGTTGTTTACTAAGAGGTCATATACAAAAATAAGCATTGGAAAATGAAAAGAACTATAATTTTTGAGGTCAGGGTAGCCTAACAACGATCTAATAAAAGTAAATATATGTTAACAGCTGAATAGAAATGGGACTAAATTCCCTAAAATATGAATGTAGTGAAGTAAACACATTTTCAATATTTATTAGCATTTGTCATTTTTACTGTTTAGTCAAGAAATTTTAGTTAGCTTCTGACTTCTTTAAATCTTAACCTCCAATAAAAAATAGATGGAGAATAATTCTGAAGATGATACCCCAATGGAAAGAGAATTTATTCTCAGCATTATGCATCATATTAGTATTATTTATTTAGAAGATGTTTGAATTTTAGCAGTCAGAATCAAGTGCAGAGTGAGTGGAGCAAACAAAAATTATACTATTAAAACCTAGGTGTAAAGGATAGCATGTGAATTTTTTAAAAATCATCTATGGATTTAATACCATCAACATATCCTTCTTAATCCTGTCTTATATTGCAATAGAGTAGATGTTTTGTTAAAAGCAAATACGTCACATGCAGTAGCCATGTAAATACTATATAAGGCCATCCAGATCTGACCAATGACATTATAATGGCATTTTGTTAATTCTGTAAAGGATATATTGCTGAGTGCTTTCAAAATTACCTGATGTACAAAATTCTAGACTTAGTAGACAAAGAGTAACAGCACATTGAAATTAAAGAAACAGAAGGAAAACTCAGGGAGAGATTCTGTATTGTTTTGTTTTGTTCTGTTTTGTTAAAAACCATGTATTGAATTTAAATTTTAGTAAAGCAAGCATTACATAATGCTTTAAAATTTTAAAAGTCGGGGATAAAAGTTTACATCCAAAAAGATGAATGGAAAATTGTGCTTTCAGAATGTAGAATAAGTTTTCTTACAGGGTTAACCATTTCATCTTGCCATTGGATACTGGGAATTTCATTTATGTAATGTATATATGTGCAGTTCATATCCAGGTCCTGCAAAAATCTAAAACTGTGTGCTTCACTTCGCGTAGCAAAGGCACCTATGTTATTCTCCCTTTCGAGCAAAAGTCATGATCCAGTTTTCCTGCTGACGACGCTTTTTCCACTGCTGTGTCAATCACACCCTCTGTGTTGAGCAGTACAGTAAATCACAAGAGAAGGTGGTGGCGAATCCCTGCTCACACTGGAAGTTGCTCTGTGGACCATTCGAAGAAGCTCTGGACTGATCACAAGGGAAACCGAGCAGAACTGTGAAGCAGACGGACAGGAACAAAAGGCTATTCTGGTGTGAGGAGAAATCAGTCACTTCAGCTCCACAGGCAGATGTTGCTACTGGACTGACAAGTGGAACCTACTCCTGCTGGAGAAAGGTAAAGTTTGCCATTGGGGCAGACGCAGAGTTCATACACTGTCTGTCGAGAACTTGAGGAGCTGGGTGAAGAAGATGAGAAGGAGCCAGTTGGTAGATTTCCCAGCTTGATTGTCTCTGCATTTAAAAATATCTATGGGAAAAAAGAAATTGCATTTTAATTCATTTTAGAAATGTAGCATCGAGTAATCTACATCCCTCCTCAACATGGTCTAATAAGGAAGTCGACACAACAAACAATTCCATGGTTTAGCTGCCATGCTTTGTTGAACAAACAAATTACATTCCTACAGTAGAGTCCAAAATATCTGCAGCTATCTTCTCCTTTGGGAGATGGTGCATTCTGACAGAAAGCCCTCAATCTGAAAAGCAACATCATACAATACGCTTAAGGGGCCAACCCAGTTACTTAAACACCACAGAAAATTAATGATTTTGACAGTCTCTCAATTTAATTTCTTAAAAAATCCCATAGATTTCCCCGTCACATCCCCCTGACAGGCCCGGATGTGTGATGTTCCCTGCCCTGTGTCCATGTGTTCTCATTGTTCCCCTCCCACTTACAAGTGAGAACATGCAGTGTTTGGTTTTCTTTTCTTGTTTTAGTTTGCTGAGAATCATGGTTTCCAGCTTCATCCATGTCCCTGCAAAGGACATGAACTCATCCTTTTTTATGGCTGCATAGTATTCCATGGTGTATATGTGCTACATTTTTTTAATCTAGTGTGTCATTGATGGACATTTGGGTTGGTCCCAAATCCCTGCTATTGTGAAGAGTGCCGCAATAAACTTAAGTGTGCATGTGTCTTTATAGTAGAATGATTTATAATCCTTTGGGTATATACCCACAAATGGGATTGCTGGGTCAAATGGTATTTCTAGTTCTAGATCCATGAGGAATGTCTTCACTGTCTTCCACAATGGTTTAACCAATTTACACTCCCACCAACAGTGTATTTCTCCACATCCTCCCCAGCATCTGTTGTTTCCTGACTTTTGAATGACTGCCATTCTAACTGGCCTGAGATGGTATCCCATTGTGGATTTGATATGCATTTCTCTAATGACCAGTGATGATGAGCATTTTTTCATGTGTCTGTTGGCTGCATAAATATCTTCTTTTGAGAAATGTCTGTTCATATTCTTCACCCACTTTTTGATGGAATTGTTTGCTTTTTTCCTGTAAATTTGTTTGTTTAAGTTCTTTGTAGGTTCTGGATATTAACCGTTTGTCAGATGGACAGATTGCAAAAATTTTCTGCCATTCTGTAGGTTGCCTGTTCACTCTGATGATAGTTTCTTTTGCTGGGCAGAAGCACTTTAGTTTAATTAGATCCCATTTGTCGTCACTGCTTTTGGTGTGTTAGTCATGAAGTCTTTGCCCATGCCTATGTCCTGAATGGCATTGCCTAAGTAAGTTTTCTTCTAGGGTTTTTACAGTTTTAGGTTTTATGTTTAAGTCTTTAATCCATCTTGAGTTAGTTTTTGTATAAGGTGTAAGGAAGGGATCCAGGTTCAGCTTTCTGCGTATGGCTAGCCAGTTTTCCCAACACCATTTATTAAATAGGGAATCCTTTCCCCATTGCTTGTTTTTGTCAAGTTTGTGAAAGTTCAGATGGTTGTAGATATCTAGTGTTATTGCTGAGGCCTCTGTTCTGTTCCATTGGTCTATAGATCAGTTTTGGTACCAGGACTATGCTGTTTTGGTTACTGTAGCCTTGTATTATAGTTTGAAATCAGGTAGCGTGATGCCTCCAGCTTTGTTCTTTTTGCTTAGGATTGTCTTGGTTATGTGGGCTCTTTTTTGGTTCCATATGAAATTTAAAGTAGTTTTTTCCAGTTGTGTGAAGAATGTCAATAGTAGCTTGATGGAGATATCATTGAATCTATAAATTACTTTGGGCAGTATGGCCATTTTCATATTTTTTAATACTCATAAAAGTGTGTGGACTTTTAATCCAAAGGATATACTAAGTAGCTGATATGGTTTGGCTGTGTCCCCACCCAAACCTCATCTTGAATTGTAACCCCCATAATTCCCATGTATTGTGGGAGGGACCCAGTGGGAGATAGTTAAATCATGGGGGCAGTTTCCCCCATGCTGTTCTCAGGGTAGTGAACAAGTCTGACAAGATCTGATGGTTTTATAAGGGGGAAACCCCTTTCACTTGGTTCTCTCCTTCTCTCTTGCCTGCCACCACATAAGATGCGCCTTTTGCCTTCTGCCATGATGGTGAGGCCTCCCCAGCCTCGTGGAAGTGTGAATACATTAATTGTCTTTTTCTTTATAAATTACCCAGTCTCGGGTATGTCTTTGTCGGCAATGTAAAAATGAACCAATACAGTAGCTAATCAGCACAGTGAACAATATATAATTATTGTCTATAATTAGATTTGAAGTCTCCATGAAACATATTACCTATGTTCAATACCTACTTTGCTAAATCTTCTAACTTGGAAAATGCTTTATTCTAAATCATGGACTCACCACTTTGAGAGACAGTGATCGTATGGCTCTGACATGCATGGAGAAAGTTTCAGAAAAAGAAAAAAAACGGATCTTGAATTTGAGCAAAGAAATAGCTCTCTCCAGCTGTTTCTTGTTTCCACTGATATATAGCTTATGATTGTCTGAAGGGTATCCCTAAATTGACAGGAGTAGGAGAGAATATTCTGCTTTCTCTCTCTTTGCCCTCCCTCATCTAAATTCCATTTGTTTTGTACTAGGACTCCTGTGATAGTCCCCTATCTGGCCTCCTGGTGGCCGATTTTTGTCCTCCTGTCATTGACTTTACATATTCCTAGAGTGAACTTTTAAGAAACGCAAATCAAATAATCTTGCTACACTGCTCAAAACACTCTGATGTCATCCCCCACACTTCAATTGGATCCTGATGTCTTTCCATGGCCCAAAGGCCCTACCTACAAGATCTGGCCTATCTCTCTAACATCATTTCCTGTAATTCTTCCTCTTGCTCCAGTTCTTGCATTTTCTCAAAAATAGCAAAAGCACTATGGCCTCATAGTATTTTTACTATTTCCTCAAACCGAAATACTTTTCTCCAGAGATTTAATGAGTGGGGGGAGATATTAACTGGGTGGTTGTGAAATATGGATGGGAGGTAGCTTTCCACTTTTTTGATGCTTTTTAAATTTCTGAACCATAAGACTACTGCACACTACAATTAAGCCAGAAAAAGAATTCATATATCATAAGTATATATATTTTAGGTCAATTTGGATGCAAACAAATTTGCTCCAATTCTCCAAAGGTCACCTCCTTGGAAATAACTTTTCTAAACACTCTATTAAAATAATGCTAATCTTTCTTCTCTCATTAACAGTTATACTTTTCTCTATAGTAAAAATCCATTTGTAATGTTACATTTGTATTCATTCATTGTTTGTTTCTTCTACTTACAATAAGATCCATGAGGATAGGGCCTGTCTTTGGTTCATCCATATAGAATAGGGCATGGAATTGTGAAGTGCATGAATTACATGATGCCTTTTCTTCACCTTGAACACATCTCTCCCCTCTAAGTTACAAACCCACCTCCCAACAAAGCCCAGTTCATCTGTTTTCTCTTCCATATACCATTCCCTGACGCCCCAAGATAGAAAAACCCTTTTTTTAAAAAGATTTTTTTAACTATACTTTAATTTCTGGGGTATGTGTGCAGAATATGCAGGTTTGTTACATAGGTATTCATGTGCCATGGTGGTTTGCTGCACCAATCAACGCATCATCTACTTAGGTATTTGTCCTAATGCTATCCCTCCCCTAGCCCCCCCATGCCAGAGAGGACCCAGATGTGATATTCCCCTCCCTGTGTCCATGTATTCTCATTGTTCAACTCCCAATTAGGAGTACATGTGGTGTTTGGTTTTCTGTTCTTGTGTTAGTTTGCTGAGAATGATGGTTTCCAGCATCATCCATGTCCCCGCAAAGGACATGAACTCATCCTTTTTATGACTGCACAGTATTCCGTGGTGTATATGTGCCATATTTTGTTTATCGAGTCATTCATTGATGGGCATTTGGGTTGGTTCCGAGTCCCTGCTATTGTGAACAGTGCCACAGTAAACATACGTGTGCATGTATCTTTATAGTAGAATGATTTATAATCTTTTGGGTATAATCACAGTAACGGGATTGATGGGTCAAATGGTATTCCTGGTTCTAGATCCTTGAGGAATCTCCGCACTGTCTTCCACAATGGTTGAACTAATTTACACTCCCACCAACAGTGTAAAAGCATTCCTATTTCTCCACATCCTCACCAGCATCTGTTGTTTCCTGACTTTTTAATGATCACCATTCTAACTGGCGTGAGATGGTATCTCATTGTGGTTTTGATTTGCATTTCTCTAATGACCAATGATGAAGAGCTTTTTTTCATGTGTTTGTTGGCTGCATAAATATCTTCTTTGGACAAGTGTCTGTTCATATCCTTTGCCCACTTTTTGATGGTTTTTTTTTCTTGTAACTTTAAGTTCTTTTTAGATTCTGGATATTAGCCCTTTGTCAGATGGGTACATTGCAGAAATTTTCTCTCATTCTGCAGGTTGCCTATTCACTCTGATGATAGTTTCTTTTGCTCTGAAGAAGCTCTTTAGTTTAATTAGATCCTATTTGTCAATACTGGCTTCTGTTGCCATTGCTTTTGGTGTTTTAATCGTGAAGTCTTTGCCCGTGCCTATGTCAAGAATGGCATTGCCTAAGTTTTCTTCTAGGGTTTTACGGTTTAGGTATTATGTTTAAGTTTTTAATCCATCTTGAGTTAGTTTTCATATAAGGTGTAAGGAAGGGATCCAGTTTCAGCTTTCTGCATATGGCTAGCCAGTTTTCCCAACACCATTTATTAAATAGGGAATCCTTTTCCCATTGCTTGTTTTTGTCAGGTTTGTCAAAGTTCAGATGGTCGTAGATGTATGGTGTTATTTCTGAGGCCGCTGTTCTGTTTTGGTACCAGTACCATGCTGTTTTGGTTACTGTAGCCTTGTAGTAAAGTTTGAAGACATGTAGCATGATGCCTGCAGCTTTGTTCTTTTTGCTTAGGATTGTCTTGGCTATGCAGGCTCTTTTTTGCTTCCATATGAAGTTTAAAGTAGTTTTTTCCAATTCTGTGAAGAATGTCAATGGCAGCTTGATGGGGATAGCATTGAATCTATAAATTACTTTGGGTAGTATGGCCATTTTCACGATAATGTTTCTTCTTATCCATGAGCATGGAATGTTTTTCCATTTGTTTGTGTCCTCTCTTATTTCCCTGAGCAGTGGCTTGTAGTTCTCCTTGAAGAGGTGCTTCACATCCCTTGTAAGTTTTATTCCTACGTATTTCATTCTCTTTGTAGCACTTGTGAGTGGGAGTTGACTCATGATTTGACTCCCTGTTTGTCTGTTATTGGTGTATAATTATGCTTGTGATTTTTGCACATTGATTTTGTAACCTGAGACTTTGCTGAAGTTGCTTATCAGCTTAAGGAGATTTTGGGTTGAGATGATGGGGTTTTCTAAATATACAATCATGTCATCTGCAAACAGAGACAATTTGCCTTCCTGTATTCTTAATTGAAAACTCTTTATTTCTTTCTTTTTCCTGACTGCCCTAGCCAGATCTTCCAATACTATGTTGAATGGGGTGGGAAGAGAGGGCATCCTTGTCTTGTGCCAGTTTTCAAAGGGAATGCTTCCAGTTTTTGCCCATTCCTTATGACATTTGCTGTGGGTTTGCCATAAATTGCTCATATTATTTTGAGATACATCCCATCAATATGTAGTTTATTGAGAGTTTTTAGCATGAAGGGGTGTTGAATTTTGTTGAAGGCCTTTCCTGCATCTATTGAGATAAACAGAACCAATGACAAAAACCACGGTTATGTGATTGATTGATTACATATATTGATTTGGATATGTTGAACCAGCCTTGCATCCCAGGGATGAAGCCAACTTGATCGTGGTGGATAAGCTTTTTGTTGTGCTGCTGGATTCGGTTTGCCAGTATTGTATGAGGATTTTCGAATCGATGTTCATCAGGGATGTTGGCCTAAAATTTTCTTTTTTTGTTGTGTCTCTGCCAGGTTTTGGTATCAGGATGATGCTGGACTCATAAAGTGAGTTAGGGAGGATTCCCTCTTTTTCTATTGATTGGAATAGTTTCAAGAGGGATGGTACCAGCTCTTCTTTGTACCTCTGGTAGAATTCAGCTTTGTATCTGTCTGGTCCAGAACTTTTTTTGGTTGGTAGGCTATTAATTATTGCCTCAATTTCAGAACTTGTTATTGGTTCATTTAGGTATTCGACTTCTTCCTGGTTTAGTCTTGGGAAGGTGTATGTGTCCAGGAATTTATCCATTTCTTCTAGATTTTCTAATTTATTTGTTTAGAGGTGTTTATATTATTCTCTAGTAGTTTGTATTACTGTGGGATCGGTGGTGATATCCCCTTCATCATTTTTTATTGCATCTATTTGATTCTTCTCTCTTTCCTTCTTTATTAGTCTGGCTAGCGGTCTATTTTGTTGATCTTTTCAAAAAACCACCTCCTGGATTCATTGATTTTTTGAAGAGTTTTTTTGTGTATCTCCTTCAGTTCTGCTCTGATCATAGTCATTTCTTGTCTTCTGCTAGCTTTTGAATTTGTTTGTTCTTGCTTCTCTGGTTCTTTTAATTGTGATGTTAGGGTGTTGATTTTAGATCTTTCCTGCTTTCTCTTGTGGGCATTTAGTGCTATAAATTTCCCTCTACACAGTGCTTTATGTGTGTCCCAGAGATTCTGGTATGTTGTGTCTTTGTTCTCATTGGTTTCAAAGAACATCTTTCTTTCTGCCTTCACTTCGTGATTTACCCAGTAGTCATTCAGGAGCAGGTTGTTCAGTTTCCATATGGTTGTGTGATTTTGAGTGAGTTTCTTAATCCTGAGTTCTAATTTGATTGCACTGTGGTCTGAGAGACTGTGATGGTTTCCATACTTTTGCATTTGCTGAGGAGTGTTTTACTTCCAATTATGTGGTCATTGTTAGAATAAGTGAAATGTGCTAAGAAGAATGTATAGTCTGTTGATTTGGGGTGGAGAGTTCTGTAGATGTTTCTTAGGTCTCCTTTGTCCAGAGCTGAGTTCATGTCCTGGATATCCTTGTTAATTTTCTGTCTTGTTGATCTGACTAATATTGACAGTGGGGTGTTAAAGTCTCTCACTATTACTGTGTGGGAGTCTAGGTCTCTTTGTAGGTCTCTAAGGACTTGCTTTATGAATCTGGGTGCTCCTGTTTTGGGTGCATATATATTTAGGATACTTAGATCTTCTTGTTTCATTAATCTCTTTACCATTATGTAATGCCCTTCTTTGTCTCTTTTGATCTCTGTTAGTTTAAAGTCTGTTTTATCAGAGACTAGGATTGCAACCCCTGCTTTTTTATTTGACTCTCCCATTGCAGTTTTTTATTTTAAATATCTTATTCTGCTGATCACTTAAAGTGGTATTTTATAGCCATCTTCACACCTTACTTTCCCTGCTAAATACATCCTCCTCAAAGATAGAATCATATTGAATTTTTAGTAATTCCTACCATGTTTAACCCTGTAGATACACCTTCTACATAACACAAATAGTTATTCAGTAAATGAATACATTATAAAACAAATGAATGGCTGCATTTATCAACAGTATTCAAAGTTAAAAAGCATGATTACAGCTTGTGTTTATTGATGTCAGATGTTGAAATATATTACCCCATAGTTACTTCTGTGTTAAGTGACAGGAAAGCAAAGAGAAAGAAATGAATTTGTTCTATTTTTTTAAGATTTGTTTTTCTGATGTGAAAGCAAGAAGTGCACAAAACTAAGCAAACAACAACAAAAACCCAAGGCAATACATTTTGGGGGTATGGATGTTGGGTCTCATTTCTTCTTGCTTGTGATACACTTGTGGCTCTCTTCTCCCCAGGGAATGAGAGATGATTCCTTTTATTGGTTGAGTGGAAGAGGAAGTGGGCTTGTGTAGTTCAGTCCCTTTTCCTTACACCTTTTCAGGAGCTAGCATGTGTGCAGAGGAAAGGCATCCTCAAGCTCTGAAAATGCCAAAAGTATTCTAGGGGCAAACTCTGAGACTGTGGTGTTTAAGTCTACAGGCTGGGAGTTGAGTTCACCTTGAAGAAATATTAAAAGCTGGTGTTTTGGATAACAAACCTTGAGACATAACACAATTAAGGAGGGGGATATGAAAATCTAATGGAGATGTGGAGAAGAGGGCTCATGTGGGATTGATCAGATGACTGTAAGAGTAAGTAAGGATTGCAGGTGACAGCCTTAGAATCAAGCATGAGCTATGGAGGCCTCATCAATGGAGTAAACCTTGAAGTACTCAAGCCTTATGATGAGTGGCTTGCTTCAGCATAGCCATAATGGTGTTCTCTGGTTCTCCCATCCATTTAGGGGCTGCTTTAGATTGTATTCGGCTATATTACAGTGCTTAAAATTCCATAAGTTTCTGAGATCCAAACCATAGCTCCACCCATATAAAAAGTCATTTTTTATAATAGATAAATTGATTCATATGGAGTACTTAGAGAAAATGATATTGGCTTGAGATAGAGGTATAAGTCATAAGATTAAAGGGGCTGCTATATATTGATTCTTTCCAACATAGCATTCCTGCACCTACCTAGATTTGTGCAGCATGGATGAACTTGAGCATATCTTTTTCTGTTCTGCCAAGGCAGTGACGCTGTTCACTTTCCGACTTCTAAAATTGATATGGCTCTTCAATATTGTCTTATAAACCATATAATCCACTGGTTCTGAAACTCTTCCCTGATCTCAATCACATCCCTGAGCTCTTAAGTCACAGTCCAGTGTCTTTCCTCTACCAAGAATTCACTTATCCTTCTGTCACCTGTTGAAATCCGGCCCGGGACTCACAAAACAAAAAATTGTTTTTGGTCAGGTGCGGTGGCTCACGCCTGTAATCCTTGCACTTTGGGAGGCTGAGGCGGGAGGATCACGAGGTCAGGAGTTCCAGACAAGCCTGACCAACATGGCGACACCCTGTCTCTTCTAAAAGTACAAATATTAGCCAGGAATGGTGGCAGGTGCCTGTAATCCCACCTACTAGGGAGGCTGAGGCAGGACAATCGCTTGAACCCAGGGGGTGGAGGTTGCAGTGACCCAAGGTCATGCCAATGTACTCCATCCTGGGCGACAAGAGCGAGACTCTGTCTCAAAAAAAAATGCTTTATTAATTATTTTTCTTTGATCTTGTGGTATATATGCTGTTATTGTATTACATGTGCCATTATACCACTTACAGTATTCTCCATACAATTACAATTCATGTTGGTTTCCAGACTGAGTCTGAAATACTTTACAATACTATGCCTGAAATGACTATGAATTTTCAGCAGTGCAGAATTTCACATACAATTTCATTCTTCTACATTTCATCCATCATTTCATCCATCATTTTAGATACCTCAATACCATGACTGATACTAAGTAGTTTAAAAACTATCTAAGGATAAGGACTTTATATCCCTCTATATTGTTTAGTAAATGATAAATCTGTGGTACAGTCAATGTAGCAAAATATATATATTTATATGATTTTATATTTCTTCATAGGAAAAATACATGCTGTTTTAAGTGCTGTGCCTTTCTGTACTTTTATTTTGTTACTATAAAAAAAAACCACAGATGAAAACCTGTGGCTATGATTTATTTACAGCACAATACTCATTTGACAATGAAGTTATAATATGTAATTGAATCAAAGGACTCTGCTGATACCATGAATAAATGAATAAAAGAACATATGTAAATGATTCTTATATGGGGCAAAATAGATATTAATAATAATCAATATTTATTATGAGCAATTTGAATGAAAGTTACCATTATCAAAGCAACTCTTTAAAAAGAATGCAAGATGTTTAAGAAAGACTTCCGTCCTACTGTGTTAGACAAAGTATTGTAGTCTACAACTGTAGTGGAAAGAAATCCTGATATTAATATATTATATTAATATATTTTCAAAATATTATACATTAGATTAATATATTATATATTAATATATTTTCAAATAATATATTATATTTTATTAATTTATATTAATATATTAATATATTTTCAAAATATTATACATTAGATTGCTAGATCACTTATGGTATAATATCTGCTAACACTCTAATATGGTCCTACCAGTAAATCTGTTTTTAAAAAGGAAGTAAATGTATAATTACAATTCATCTTGAATTAATAACTGAGATAAAAAAGGAATATTCCCCTTTTGCCTGTATTAAATTATGACCTCATCATTATATCTGAAGAGGACTGAAATACTCCAGAACATGCCTCTCAACTTATCCTTTCATTCTTTTTCTTCTCAATTTGACCTTTGTGGGCTCATAATTTAAAAACGATAAATAACACAAGAAGAAAATAAAACACCTAGGGAATGTATTGGTAGGAAAAGCAATACAACAGATTTACACTGTCAAGAACTTTCAAAATTGTAGTAAAAATATATAGACTAGCATATAAATCATGTATGAGCATTTAAAATAACTAAGGTAGAATTAAAAATGAACTGGCATGAAAGCATCTGCCAAGATGTCCAGGTTTGAAAAAAAAAGATGAGACTGCTAGACATTAAAAACATAATCACTAAAATTAAAAGCTCAATGTATGGATAAAATATGAGATTAGATAGTGGGGAGAACCCTGAAAATATAGACCTGAATAAGTCAGTGGCATGAGGCACAGTAAGAGAAAGAAACTGGGAAGGAGAGGGTAAGAGATGTGGAAGGTGTGAAAATGCAAAGTTATGTCTTCAGAGTTTCAGAAAAAGACCATAGAAAATTGGGAAAAGACCATGGAAAATTGGGGAGAGGTTATCTGAGGTTATCTGAAGAAATAATGGGAATTTCCAGAATTGGTAAAAATGTGATTCTGCAGATAACAATAATCATGTATACTTATCACTTTATAGTGGAAAAATAGAACATCAATGACAAAGTATTATTTAAAGCAGACAGCAGGAGAAAAAATAAATGATGTCTGCAGGAGTAGCAACAAGATTTAAAGGAAATTCTTGGGGAATAAAGGTAATATAGAAGAAAAATACTAATGTATACATCCTATTCCAGGAAATATCATTCCTAAACAGTAAAACTTTTGTTTTCCTTTTAGATAAATAAAGGCACTCTTTCTATGGAAACAAACAACCAAAGTGCTTTCTGGAAGAACTTTCTGAATATCAAGATATAACAAGAATTAAAAAAAAAAAAAGGACTGTCGTTATTCTTCTCAAATTATATGCATATGGTTCCAGGGGAAGCATAAAGAAGTGCTTTGTGGAAAAGTTTAAATTACACAAATATGTACTTTTGTTTGTTTGTTTGTTTGTTTTGAGACGGAGTCTCGCTCTGTCGCCCCAGGCTGGAGTGCAGTGGTATGAAGCAAGCTCCGCCTCCCATGGGTTCGTGAATGGGAGTGAATGGGTTGACGACATTCTCCTGCCTCAGCCTCCCAAGTAGCTGGGACTACAGGTGCCTGCCACTATGCTTGGCTAACTTTATATATATATATATATATATATATATAATTTTTTTTTTTTTTAGTAGAGATGGGGTTTCACCGTGTTAGCCAGGATGTTCTTGATCTCCTGACCTCGTGATCTGCCTGCCTTGGCCTCCCAAATATATACTTCTTGAATATGAGATATGGTAACCTAATATTACTTTCCTAAGTTACAACTCCATTTATTTTCTACTGAAAGATATTCCTTCACAAGTCAATTATAAATAGGACATCTAAATACTTGTGTTTTCAAAGTGGGCAGTATAGGGCGAGGGTCCAACTTTCTGGGACTCACCTCCCCTTCTGTAGATTGCAGATGGAGCTCCTTCCTGCAGGTGGCCTTGAAGTCTCCTGCAGCAGCACTCACCTGGACCCCACGGGGAGCTTCCATGATCAAGGATCTGGTGGGTGATTCAAGCCTAAGGGAAAAACAAAAAATCATTAAT